>NC_000023.11:13955669-14258700 GCF_000001405.40 Homo sapiens | reverse complement strand
CAATTTCACTTTTCCAGGTTCTAGTGTCCTTATTTGTCAAGGCGTGGAGAAAGCAGAGAGTTGACAGATAATGTCATACATTTCTTCAAGTTATAGGGTTCCAAAATACTTTATACCTTGCCTCCAGAAAGAACTATATACAAAACCATCCCAAATAGATTTGTAAATTCCTCTGGAACAGCACTGTCCAATATGGTAGCCACTTGTCACATGTGGCTATTTAATTTGAAATTTAAGTTAATTAAAATAAAAAACTTATTTCCTCACTTGCACTAGCCACATTTCAAGTACTCAATGGTCGCGTGTGGTAAGTGGCTACTATATGGGACAGCACAGATAACAGAACATTTCCGTCATCTATCTCTCAGCAAGCTCTACTGGACAAAACTGTAGATGGAAACTTCAAAATGTGACCTGATAACCTGCTCTGGAATGCTTAGATCATTCATAATCCATTTTATCACGTATATAACTTACAGGTTGCGTTATTCATGAAAGTCAACATTTAAAAGCAAAACTTAAAGTTTTTAAATCAAGAAACAAACTTAGGAGAGTGGAAAACTGAGAAGGATTGAATACTCATTTTTGCCAAACTGTAGATTGCAGGATGTTATGATGACAACTTTCTTCTCGCTTTGTTCATTCCAAAATCTTTTAAAATTCACTTCCAGTTTTAATATCTATCAATTCCTTAACTAAATTATGCTCGTGTTATATTCAAAACACATTTAAAATTTTGAAGCTGGTAAACAATAATTAAACACATTTTAATAGGTCCACCGTAAGTCTGAAATAAATAACACTCTATGCAACTATTCATTCATTCAACCGATATTCACACAGTATCAACTCCATGCTGGCTACTCTTCTGGGTATGGGAAACACATACACAGGAAAGATAATGCAGAAACTTAAGATCAGTCTCAGCTTTCCAGACTAGAAAGTGGACTTGAAGGCAGGTGTTTGCATAGGTCTTTGCACTCTTAATATACCTTAGTGGTTCTCAAACCTCAGCACGCATCAGAATCAGAATTTCCTGGATGGTTTGTTAAAACACAAATTGCTGGACTCCACCCCCAGAGTGTCCGATTCAGTAGGTCTTGGGTGGGACCTAATAATTTGTATTTCTAGCAAGCTCCCTGGTGATACACTACTGGTCTGGGGACTATGTTTTGAGAGCCACAGAATTGGCCTGTATTTATTTGTTTTCAAAAGTCTGTGTGTTAAGAAATCTTCAAAAACAGATTTTAAAAATTAGCAAGTCTGAGTGTGGGAAATCATTATATTTATTAGCATTAGCTACTCAGGAAAAATCTCAGGCCCAAAAGTTTAGGAATTCTTCTGAAAATGTGTATGGGCATGCATTTAAGGGTTTCTATTAAATTTATTTCTAGGGTTTCAAAAAACAGTTTTGCTTCTTTTTGGAAAAGTAGAAAAGTAATATATCACATTATCTGACTCTATTCAAGTGTGATTATTTTAAATGGCTGCTGGCTTCAATGTTGAAATCTGTTGCTATGAAAGAGGTCAGGTGTAGTTCCCCAAGGGCAGGGATCATTGGGTCTCTCTAGTAAGCCATGAATAAAGGGAGATCTACGTTAGGGCCTCAAAGAAATCTGTAGCTCTATAAATATCCAGCTCACCAGAAATCCTTCCATTATCTTCCTAGACACCCAAGTTCCCTTTGAACAGGGAAAATAGGACATGGCAGTATATAACCAAAGGAGTAGAGAATTTGGAGCCTGAAATTCTGGTTAAATTATGCCTTCACCATTTACCAGCTAGCGACTTTGGACAAGTCACTGTATCTTTCTTAACCTTGGCTTTCTTAGCTGTAAAATGAGGACAATAATTTCCACAACATGGATTTGTCATGAAGCTCAACTATGAAACTTTGAAAGTATTTTGAAAAAATTTTGTAAACTGTGGCTTTATTATGAAAGGATTTTGTAAACTGTAACTTTAACCCTTCTTAATTATCCCTAGCAGCCATTCATGCATTTATCCATACACGCATTCATTCACTCACTCATTTATCTACCAGCAATTATTTATTGAGAACTTAACACTATTCTAAATACAAGGAAAAATAGTTTTGTCCTTGAGGATCAGCCACCTGCCTCTTCTCTGAGTGACTATGATTAGCCAAGGGTTCTGCTCCAACATCCAAAGCCATAAACTTCCCTTTGCTCATGCCAGTTCTTTACCAAGGCAAACATATGCCAGACCTCTGCCTTCAAGGAACTTCAGTTTTATAAAAAGATATACTTTCCCAACGCTGAATTTACAAAGCTTTCAAAACACAGAAGAATCCAAGTCATTTTTCTACACATTTTTTGTTCCACTATATTAGTCATACATGCCCAACAGAAGCTAAATTTATCTACCTCTTCCAGCTAAGCCATCTGTTGCATGTAAACATCAACAATGCATGCATCTAGTTAATTAAAATCTGACAACAAAGGGACATGAAGTGTTAGGGGTTGATGCTGACATTACAGTGGAAAAACAAGAAGATCTTTGTGTCAGAACAGATCTGTAATAGGCTTACCAATAAAGACAGAAAATCTGAAAATAGAAGGAAAATGTAGGTCTCATGAAAGGAGGCTTGTACCTCAACACAGGTGCAAGGAATGAAACATTTTTGAAGTGTCATTCATGCAGTAGGAGAAAATCATTCTAAAGTCATTGAAGGGAAAATATGTGAAGCAAAATATAATTTTCCAAAATTCCAAAATCACATATACAAATCTTGCCTTTATGAGCCCCTCAGGCCAACTGTATGTCAATTATAAACATATGTAAATGAATAAATCTTCAATGAGGAACAGTCCAATTATATGTTTTTGTCATAACCATTCTTTCAACAAACATTCATTGAATGTAAATTATTTATTGACCTAAATTGCTATTCCATTAGAAATACGTTTGCAAATAAATTGTAAATTAATGGTGAAATCAACATTATCTCTAATTTAATGGTATCACCAACTTACCTATTAATTTTAGTGAATTTTCTTTCTCTTCCTTACAATACCAAATGAAAACTCTTCTCTCTGCTGCATTAGAAAGGGACACAAAATAGGGAGTATTAAATTAATTTGCATATATTACTCTTACTTGTTCATGCATTGAAAGGTAGTAATAAAACAAATATATGACATTGATTTACCCTAATTCTTAGAATAAATACAATGACAGCTGATGTCAAATGAGTGGGAGAAAACATTATACCATATCACATCCCCTTGAATGCTAGAGGCTTCAAAAGTCATGTCCTCAGTATCTTAACATTGAAACCAATGAACCCCACTCTATTCCTACCAAAGCTTAGCCTGAGGAACTTAGATAACTCTAATTTATTCTCAATCATTGGTGCAGCTATACACCATGTGAGGATTGCATACTTGCAAAAATCAATGAGGTCATTTGTTCTTATGAGTCCTGACAGAGAAAATCCTACAGAATCAATATACAGGATTTTTTGAAATTACATATGTGTGTGTGTGTGTGTGTGTGTGTGTGTATATATATATAATCACTTCTGCTTTACAAGCAGCATTCTCACTCCCTAAAGAAAAATCTTGTTTCCATAAGCAACTCACTCAGATTCCAACTTCTGCTTTTGACTGCAGGCACACTTGTCATCCTAGATTAGTAATGACTCCTGAAATAAAGACCTCCAGATCGTCTCCAACTCTTTCATGACTCAGGGAAAGCTTTTGCCTATTTAGAAAGTGTGTCTTCACTATGGGTAATAGCTGTATTCTTTGATAATCAAATCCACATATATATTTTATTAGTTTAGTTTTATATGAGGACAATAATTTCCACAACATGGATTTGTCATGAAGCTCAACTATGAAACTTTGAAAGTATTTTGAAAAAATTTTGTAAACTGTGGCTTTACTATGAAAGGATTTTGTAAACTGTAACTTTAACCCTTCTTAATTATCCCTAGCATTCTAAATGTTTACAGGAAATTCAAAATGTATGTTTAAAATTCAATATAAATATTTTTGCCAAGCCAAACAACAACAATAATACTCCTATACTTGTGCTTATCTAGCACACCAAGAATTGTAAAAATTACCATCAGATTAATAATGGCTGTTGAGAAGAAAAAATAGACTACCACATTGATTGTATATAATTATATCAGAAACATCAAAATATGAGAGAGGAATATGCCTTAGTATTGAGGCAATGTCCTAATTCATTTGGGATTTACTAAAATAAGGAGATACCTGCCAACATTTGTAAATATAAAGAATGTAGGTACCATACAAAAGTTATGAAAATATGCATTGCACTGGTCCAGATATGCAGATGCATTAAGATGAGCCAAATGATGATTAGAGAGACATTCTTTAAGAAATATGTGTGTATGAGTGTTTATATTTCCTTAGCTTTCATGACAATTTGTACAATCTATGTTTGAGAAGGGGTAGAGAAGTCTCTAAACTTAAGAAAGAAGTGTACGCAATTTCTTTGGCTGGGTGCACACAGCACATTTGGGTTTTATTTATCTTCACAGTTTCAGAGTAGTAAGACCAACACACCTGAAGTTCTTATAGGTGAATCAGACCAGACCAGATTTTACATTCAGACTCATGTGGCTACATTCGAACCAACAGTCTAGGGTCAGCAGACTTGGTGTAGCAGTGGACGAATTAAGGGTGATGAGGATATTGAGGGTTGCTGTTGAATAGAGTAATGACTGATACCATATCTACAGACCCATTAAATAGCTTAGAAAATTCATTTTTAACTGTTTTAACCAACCTCCTTAAGGGAAAGGATAAATAATTGGATTCTGAAGCATTGATAATCTCTTGCTTGGGTAAATTGAGTAAGGTGCTAATTTGTCTCTTACCTATCCTTACTTGATATATTAGTTTCCTATTACTGCTATAAAGAATTACCACAAATTTCACGGCTTAAAAACAACACAATTTTATGATCTTACAGTTTTGGGGATCAGAAGTTAGAAACTTGTCTGATTGAGCTAAAATAAAGGGTTGGCAGGGCTGCATTCCTTTTGGAGACTCTAGGAAACATCCATTTTCTTTGCCTTTTCCAGTGTCTGGACGGCCCCTCCGTCTCTTGGATCGTTGCCCCTACCTTGCATCACTCCAACCTCTGCATCCATTGTCACATCTCCTTCTCCTTATCTGCTTCTGTCATCACACCTCCTTCCCTGTCTGTGACTCTCCTGCCTCTCTCTTTTCCTTATAAGAACTTGTATGATTGCATTAGGCCAACACAGATAATCCATGTTGATCTCCCCATCTCCAGGTCCTTAATTTTATCACATCTGCAAAGTCCCTACTGCCATGTAAGCTAATATATTTATAGGTTTCAGGGATTCGGAAATGGACATTTTTGAGGGCCATTATTCTGTGTACTGTATTTTCTTCCTGTCTTCCTTTTTTTATTTAAAATTGGAGCTCTCAAGTGACGTTCTGTGGCCCACTAGCAAACTGCAAGATGCTCTGAGCTCTAGTAGATCTTCTGCTACATTACATTTGTAGTGTGGTGAAGTCTTGACCAGTGATCTTCAGTGTGGAAAAGCATATCAGCATCACCTAGAACTTGTTAGAAATGCAAATTCTTGGGTCCCACTTAGAACTTCTGAATCAGAAATTCCAGGGATATGGCTCAGAAATTTGTGGTCCTTGAGGTGATTTATTCTTAAATTAGGGAAACACTGATCTAGACTTATATTTCTGATATGTGTTATTTATCTCAGTCTTCATTACTTTAAATCATTGCTAGTTGCATATTCTCATGAGTTCTAAGTGAGCTTCACCACTGTAAGAAAGATGCAAGTATCGGGTAGAGTGAGTATGTCTTGAACTCTTCTCCTGGGTAAACATAATCAAAAGACAACAAAATGTTCTAGAAAAGCCATTTCATACTGCATCCAATAAGGTCGATATGATGCTCCCTGTTTTACAAATGAAGAGACTGAGGCTTAGAGACACAGATTTCACATCAGTTTATTTACCCCCATATACCTTGCTAAGCACAGTATGAATATTTCTGAATGAAGCAAAAGAGGAAGAAAGGGAGAAAAGGAGACACCTAAGGTCACAAAAGTTCTAAGAGGAAGAGACAGGATTCAAAACCATATCCATCTGATTTCAAACCCAACTTCATTCTGTTATGCAACACTGCCTCCAGTGTGTACGTGTGTGTGTGTTTGTGTCTGCATGTATGTATACGCACACCATATGTATATCATGCCACATACTCTTAATAGATGATTACTATAAATAATGACTAACAAATTAAAAATCATGGAAAACTGGTTATTATCAGTTTTTAGTTTGGGTCATGACAATATATTCAACTGAGTTAGCAGGGAATATTTAAACACATAGACAAATACAAACCCAATACAATAAAAATATCAATCACGTATCAGTGTTTATTAATACATCTTTATGTTTTCTGTTTATTTTGTATGTGACACATAGAAAAATTGAATGTGTCTTCAAAGAGAAATGTGGTAAATTTTCCTTTTCTCACAAGAATCTATGCAAATCATTCATACTTCATATTCTCATTTACTTATGTCAAAAAATGTATATTTCACAACACAAAGTTACCAACAATATTGCTGACACTTTTAGAAAAGCTAATTCCACTATAAGATTTTTATCACAAGTAAAACACATGGAATTTTTTCATGGAATGTGTGCATATAGTAACAAGAGTTGTTTATCAATTATGATTTACTCATTCTATAAGGCTTTCATGCCCCTGGCCCAAGGGTTCATAACTTGGAGATCATGGACTAGGAGTACCATGGACAGAATTCAAGGCATTCATGAAGTTGATACCTCCTAACTCTATGCATTTTATTTTATACATCTAAAAACATCATTCTGAGAAGGAGGCCACAGATTTCACCAGACTGCTAAAGAAGTCCACAATACAAGAAAAACCAGCCTGATTTGATGAAACTGTATTTTATAACAAATAATATATAATCAATATTGCATGCACATTTAACTGTATTCAATTATTTCATTCAACTTAATAAGTAATCAGGTCAATGAACAGTTAATGAACATTGTTGCAGGTGGTGACCAAGACAACTTCATTCTTCTTCACAAGAAGCATGTAATTGATTCAGAAAGACAATATTCTTTAAATAAAAAAATTCATTAAATACAAGCACTATTATTAAATGGCTAAAAATAAGGTTATAAGAAAGATCGTGAAACCAATGATCATATACAGATTCCCTCAATTGGTTTAAATACATTTATTCCTTACTGGAATGAAAGAAATGATTGGCTGAGTGCCAGATTTATGCATTTATATATCTGATGAAAAATTCATTAGTGGCCAGGCATGGTGGCTCATGCCTGTAATCCCAGCACTTTGGGAGGCAAAGGCGGGCAGATCATGAGGTCAGGAGGTCAAGACCATTCTGGCTAACATGGCAAAACCCCATCTCTACTAAAAATACAAAAAAACAAAATTAGCTGGGCATGGTGGCATGCACCTGTAATCCCAGCTACTCAGGAGGCTGAGGCAGGAGGATCGCTTGAACCCGGGAGGTGGAGGTAGCAGTGAGCTGAGATCGCACCACTGTGCTCCAACCTGGGCGACAGAGCAAGAGTCTGTCTCAAAAAAAAAAAAAATCATTAACACTAACCACTTGCTAATAGAATTGCACCTCCAGCTTTTTCTATAAGTGTTTAGCAGGGTTGTACAACTAGTCAATATTTGATTATGTTTGATACTTCAGGCATTATCTTGCTGGAAGCATTGCTCAAAAGTCATAGCCAAGAGCCACAATGATGGCGATACGCTACAGAACACAATGGATGTCTGAATTTAAAAACTCTTAATTTTTTAAGTAATTAAATAAGAAGAGCTTCAAGATTTAGAATCATTTCACTGTAATTATGGTCTTGATATAAACCATAAATTTCCATTTGATGAATGTAATAAATTATATACATATATAATTATATATATATAATTATATATATAATATATATATGTGTACATATAAATTTTCCTATTCATTCAGTCAAGGATCATATATATATAACATTTGAATAAATATACTTGTTTAAGTATTTACTGAGTAAATGTATTGAACATCAACTCTCTTTCACTGTTAAGCACTACAGAGAATATACAATAATTACTAGATAACTCATAATTTTTCAATGAACTTAATATCCACACAAGCAGACACACAATTAAACACAATCCAAGTGCCAAGATGATTAGTTCAGTCCACAAAATTTCTTGGGAGCTCAGAGAATAAAAAGATCACTGTGGTTTGGGAAGCCTAGAGAAAGGTTTGGTGGAAGAGCAGGTACTCAGCTAGGCCTTGGAGATCATTACAGTATGAATATCATTTTCTGTTTTCATATCTATGATCAGAAATGGAGCCGGGCGCAGTGGCTCACGCCTGTAATCCCAGCACTTTGGGAGGCCGAGGCGCATGGATCACTTGAGGTCAGGAGATCGAGACCATCCTGGCTAACAAGGTGAAACCCCGTCTCTACTAAAAATACAAAAAATTAGCCGGGCGCGGTGGCAGACGCCTGTAGTCCCAGCTACTCGGGAGGCTGAGGCAGGAGAATGGCGTGAACCCGGGAAGCAGAGCTTGCAGTGAGCCGAGATTGCGCCACTGCAGTCCGCAGTCCGGCCTGGGCGACAGAGCGAGACTCCGTCTCAAAAAAAAAAAAAAAAAAAAAAAAAAAAAAGAAATGGAATATCAATCAAGATGAATAAGATGTTGGAAGAAGTAAAAATGGGGTAAAAGAGCTTTTCTTTCATTTGGCTTGCAATATAAGCAAGTTTTGCTATGGCTTTCTTTTAGATTCCAAGAACATGGTTCTGAAATTCAATAGCAAGGGTATTTCAAGTCTGTTGTGAATCTTTAACTGGTAATGCACATTTATGTAGCAGAATAATAGCTTTATGAAAGCTTTAAATGATATGTAAATAACTATATAAAAATGACTACTAAAGAAATACAAAGTATTATCACAATAATGAGTATTAAAGACAAGAATATAACTATGCAAGTTCCTTGAATTATAACTAAGAAACAATGTATGATCTGAGTCTATGGGAAGAGAGAGAAGCCAGGAGCATGCAGGATATAGGCAATGGGGCTAAGGAAATGACTAATGGCCTTTGTGGACACCTTTGGACATATTAATGATCAGTGTTTCAGGAGTTACAACAGACAGACTCAAAACAGAGGTGGGCTGACACATATACAGAAGTCGAGGTACTGGAAGGTAGACAAAGCAACCTGGGGTCCTCTTCTCAAGCATTCTTTAAGAAGACGACCCCAGGTAATGGGTATGGTTTGAGTATATGACATAGGAAGCAGGATACAAATCCTAGTGTAGGAAACTCAATAAACTAGGCATGATAGTGTTTATTCACTCATTTAACAAGTATTTATTTAGCGTATGCCATGAGAGTATAGAGCAGTAATTAATACCACATCCTTGCCCTCATGAAGCTTACATTCTAGTCATTCCATAGTTGAATTTTTAAAATTCAATTTCAAAAATAATAATATTCAGGACTCGCACCTTTGGATTCTAATCCAGCTGATTTTCAGCCAAACACAGACATAGGCATCTTTTCAAAGCTCCTTTGGTGAGTCCAGTGTGCAACTGAGGCTGAGAGCCAGTCAAGTTAGTTTATGTTCTTCTGCAGGAACAAATCGCACTCACATCTCAATTGCTTAAATACAAACATTTATTTCTCATTCATGCTACATATCCATTGCAGGGCTACTGGACTGGTCTGCTCATAACACTCAAGCTGATGGAGCAACTGTCACTGCAGATGTTGCTGGTCACTATCCAAGAAGAAAAGAGAGGCTTGGAGGCTCTTACCCCTGGGATTAAATGTTCCAGTCTCAAAGTGACACACATCACCTATAGTCGCAATGCTTTGCCATAACTAATCAAGTGAGACTACCCATCTCTAAGGGGGCCACAGAGTGCCCTCCTACCATGTGACCAGAAAACAAAGAAAGACCTAAATAGTTGTTGATCAGCATTAAAGATGACCATTAAGTATAGACATTATTGACCAGTATTGATAGCCTTCATTTACCCCCATTAAAGACAACCATTTTTGACCAGCACTTAGGCTAACAATAAGCATAAGCATTCTATTGACCAGCATTAAGGATAACCACTGTTGACTTGCTTATTAAGGATAAGCATTACCCTTACTATCCTTATTAAGGAAAAGCATTATCCTTATTATTCCTATTAAGGATAAGCCTTATGATAACCAGCATTAGGATAACCATTGTGAACCAGTATTAAGGATAAGCATTATGCCGAGCAACCCTAGGATAATCATTGTCAACTGGTATTAATGATAAACATTAAGGATAAGCATTAATTTGACCAGCATTAGGATAGCAATTGTTGGCCAGCATTTAATAAATAGCAACTAAGGATAACCATACAGGATCTAATCTTCAGGCCAGAAAACTCAGTTGTTGGATTTGTGGTGTCCATGTAGTCCATCCTAGCCAGTTAACCTCCTTATCTTTGCCATATTTCATACGTACAAATGTTCCTGGCCCACGCTTACCATCTGAAAGGCATGAGGTAACTCTCTTTTGTATTTCCACGCATCATGAGTTCAGTTCCACCACAGCATGTACCACAATGATTAGAAATAATCTATTTACATGGCTGAGGACAGGCACTATGATTTATCTTGGAATCCCCAGTGCCTAGCATAAGATCTGACATATGGCATATGCTCAAGAAATGTTTGTTGAATTGACCTGAATTAGTGCAGCTCCTAAAATGAGCCCCAAGGTCCACATAGCAACTCCTAATAGCCAGCTTTCAAAGTCCATCTTCCCTGAACTTATTCTTTCAACAGGTGAAACTTCTCTGCCCTGCACATAGTGGATCCGAATGCCCGGGCCGATGAACTGTTTCCACTTAACTCCCTTGATTCAATGTTCGACAGAGGTAAACAAAGTGGTGCCTCCGCCAACATGTAGGTATGAATTTACTCATTGAATTAAGCCTCTGCTGTCAGCACTAGGGAGACTAACTCCAAACAGCAAAAGAAGCACCCAGCTTACCATGAAATACAATCTTGGAAATTTGTTCATCATAAATACTAATGATTCACCACTTTACCCAGTCTGATAATATTTTCTTACAAATTATAGGACAGCAAAACCCTGGAGATATACTGCACAGGATTCACAGTATTTTCAGATTCTGCTTCTCTTTTGTGTTCTCTCTTTCCTTGCTTCTCTCTCTCTGCCTCTCTACATGTCTCTCCTTTCCTCTCTGTCTCTGTGTGTCTCTGTACCTGAGTGTCTCTCTTTGTGTGTGTCTCTCTCCGCCGCTCTTCCCCCTTCTGTGTGTGTGTCTCTCCACAACCCCTTCCCTTAATGCCTCATTAACTGGATAACTGTATGAATACCGCTTTAAGGATATATTATATCTTTCATCTCTACCTAGATAATAGAGTAAAAACCAGGGATATTGCTCTCAATGGGAACGAAACTCATTTATCACCAATAAACACCAACTGCTGATACGTGATAACAACACTGTCCCTCTGCACATTGCAATATTCATGCAAGACTATGTTAATATCAGAGCATGTTACACTAAAAATTCTTGATAAACAGAAGCAGAGACATAGGTTGAAAGTGGTGTTAAATGAGCAAAGACAGCATCTCTTTAAACTGAAGAAATAAATGTAGGTATCTCACCTCTAAGATACTAGAGAGAAGAGCCTCTAGTTGGATTAAACAGTTATTAAGCATCTGTAGCCTCACAAAGAAAACTCAGGCTAAGAGAATAAATTGAGGTAATCTAAATGGTCCAGTCCCCCTCCAGCTGTATATTTCCTACATTGAAAATCCCTTTTGTATTTAACAAGGAAATCCATGCATAAGGATCCAATAGACTAAATTAATGAAGACTGAATTCATGTTTGTATGTACCCCAACAGGGTGTCCATTTGAGATTTTTTCTGCAAATAATATGCAATTTCTTCTTTCATATGCATATTTTTTTTGTGACCAGAAACTGGCACCTGCAGACCCACTTATAGTAAGGATGCAATCTTAACTAGGTTCTCTATGTAGAGCACTGACAAGTCCTATAAGGACTGAACACGTAACTCTCACCATGACAACCCCATTCTCCAACCAAGTGGGTTTGGTTTCTTTTTAGTCTCATCAGCATATCTACCTTCTTCTAGCAATATCACAGCCCTTCTTCTTTTAGAAACTGCTTCTTACTTTACTTCAAATGTAGCTCTTGTAGGGCCACCATGTTTTTATATCACCCTGTCCCCAAGGCTAGATTGGTTCAAAAGTGAGCACTGTATTCAAGCCAGGCCAATACAAGTTCTTCTTTCCTCATGACTTTCCTAACTGGCACTGAGTACAAAGCTTCCAATTTGGTGGTGAAACCTGCAGGATGTGATACTTAAGAGTAATTGACAACCATGTTCCCTGGCTCATGGAGGAAGCTAGTATTTTGGGGAAAAGGTAAAGACAACAGGCAGAGAAAAGGTCAAAAAATAATTTAAATAGGGTTTGTCATGGACACTCTCAGCATCCCACCATGAGCCCTCTGATAATCCCTTTAATCATCCTGCGTACTCCTTCCCCAGCTTCTGTGTGCTTTGTCTCTAATGGTCCATACCTGTGATTCTTTTAGGATGTCATCTTTGGGGCTACTAGAGCTCTTTGCCCTGATAGGTGGAGAGAGAAGTGCTTGGGGGTTATGTTTCCCCAGGTGAGAGTGGGGTTTAACTAACTGGTGCAGGTGTATGAAAACCAAACTCCCTTGCCTCTGGTTGGAGCAAACTCTGAGTTATAATTTACACTTCAGAACTCCCTTGTAGGATTTGGTTGACGCTGAGACTTGGCTTGGAACAGCCTCTTGCTTGGCTTCGTACCCTTTTCTGTCATGCTTCTCATGCTCCCTTACTTGTTTCTCTAAGGAGCACTAAAAACACAAACTTAGATGCTCTTCAAGCAAGTTTCTGTCCTTAATAATCCCTGGGACCCTTCAGTACACCTCAGAAGTTTGGTTACTAAGATTCCCAGTGCCATGTCTTTAATTTTTTAAAAATGTTTTCAATTCAAGAATTGGTTTATTTGTGCTAGTCTTTAGTAATCTTCATAGCCACATTTTTATTTCATCAACAGTCATCTCAGACACACCTTCTAACAAGACCGACTTAAAATATTACGACAGGAAACTATGCCTTCAGGAGCATGTTTATTGTGTTTGAGATGATACATCCGGTGCTCTCTGAGCTACAAAGGGTAAAAGGAAATCCTCTCATTACAAACTGACAAAGGTAAAAGGTAAAACATTTTTCACAACAGCATGAACCACATACTCAGAAATTGATCTGGGTTTAATACAAATGACATAATTCCTAGTCATCTACAGCTACTTTTATAAGTTCATACAGATAATGCATTAGGCTAAAACGCACTATAATATTTGGTAGACTTCAGGACCAGTATCCTTAGTACATCACAAAATACATTTTGATATCCCAAAGAAGCAAGACTTGCAAGTAGGCGTTTTCAACATAACTAATCTACAGCTACAAAGTTCTACTCTTGATAGCATTTACCTTTTTGGGGAGTCTCCCAGGCTCCAAAGGATAAAAGCAGAGTAGAATCAGTATAACATATACACAGAAGTCCGTATTGTAAAGACTATAAAGATTTGCAGCACAGTGAGAAGATGCCTTCTGCTCCTTCACACTGCATACAAATTATGTGAATTACGTTGCGTATCTCTTGGTCCTCTGTCTGGCTATCCTGTCGTGTTCTGCTCTGTTGGTCAAATACTGAGTGGCTATGCTTCCAACCAGAGGATCCACAGGGTTGCAGTCCATTAAAAGGGAACAAATAGACAGCAAAACCTTTGAAACAGTCAAAGCGGGACTCCAGTTGTCTTTAAGGATGTCCAGACAGATGACTCCCTGACTGTTGATGTTGCAGTGATCGATTCTGGTGCGGAAAGTAACCTTTGGTGGCTTAAATGGATAATCTGATGAAAATGTGATATCCAGAAAAAACACACCACCTTCATATACAGAACCCAGTGGACCAAGTATAGTTGATCTCCATTCACAAATGTTATCTCCTTTAGGCCCAGCACTGCAATTAGGAGGAGGATCAAGGGTTATTTCAGCTAGCTCCTTCTGAATTTTTTTAGCACTAGTGGATAACTTAGCAGTGGTTTTGCTAGAGAGTTTGGTGTTTTTCTTCTGCTGGGTGGCAGAAGGTTTTCTTTCCTCTTGTTCTTCAGGCTCTGGAGCGGCTGGGTCTCGCTGGTCCGCATCTGAACTGCCACTGCTGGTGCTGGGGCTCTCATCATCGGACCTTTGCCTATCACTGGACATCTTGGTGAAGCTAACTCTTGGAAAACTCGGCCGGCCACCCGCCCGGCCCGCTCGCGCGCCGCTACGGTGTGAGGGAGGGAGAGAGAAAAAAAAACCCTTCCTTAAGGAAATGGACGCAGCTGTTGGGGGAGGGGAGGGGGGAGAGACAAAAAGAAGCTGAGGAGGCTCTGGCCTGGCCGGGGAGTGTGGAACATTGAAAGTCGGAGGGGGTTGGGCAGTGCCTGGCTCCGGCCGGAGGGTGGCGCCGCCCAGCGCCTTCGGAAAAAAGGGGGTGGGGTGGGAGCTCGGCTGAGCGAAGGCGCTAGCTCCGGGCGAGGCGGAGGGGACGCGGGAGACCCCCGCGCGCTGCAGCCTCCCGCCACCGCCGCCGCCGTCCGGTTCGGCTCCCATTTCTTTTAATTTTGAATTGTAAAATGACAAATTATAGTTGTATATATTTATGGGGTACAAAATGATATTATGATTTCTGAATACAATGTGGAATTTTTGAATCAAGCTAATTAATATATTCATCACCTCAAATATGAATCATATTTTGTGGTAAGAACATATGAAATGTACTCTCATTTCAATCCCGTTTCCTCTTCATAAACAAGTTCAAGTAGGGGTTCTGTCATTTTCAACCAAAAGAGATCTGACTAATTCAATAACTGAGACACCAAGTTCAGTGGAATATGATGTGATTCAAAATGGTTATTTTGCTAGATATGTTAATATTAACAGAACATTTGTAGGCTCAACTAAATAAATGGTTTGGCTGGTCTTTATTTTTGAGAGTTGATTACTGAACCCTATGAAAATGATCAAATCAATTTGTACATCTAGATATAGATACATTTACCACTTAACTGCCTTTGAGACAGCACAGTACAGAAAAGTTGGCTCTATTGATCCATGCAGTTTTACAAAAACTACTGTAGCAAAATACTGAGCAGGATATTAATAACATTTCCAATCTTATGATTATAGACAACATGTGATTTGCAATGAATTT
The DNA here is from genome assembly GCF_000001405.40 of Homo sapiens. Lineage (NCBI taxonomy): Eukaryota > Metazoa > Chordata > Mammalia > Primates > Hominidae > Homo > Homo sapiens. Next base: position 14,243,273 of record NC_000023.11, on the reverse strand, counting down.
CAAAGGCCCGAGAGAAGTTTACTGATGCTAATTATAAGAAACATTTTGACAGCCACCATCTGGTGCAATGCTTAAGTGAATATAAGCTGCTAAAAATGAGTTTAATATGATAACCAGTTTATTGGGCAGGTTACAGAAATATCTCTTTACAAATTATTCAACAGGGATTGAGATCGTTTGCTCTTACTTTTCTAATATTTCCCTCCCAGTTTGAAAGGAGAAAGCACAACCACCAAAGACCCAGCCTAAATGAGTTATAGAGTTGGGACTAATTGGTGCCTGATTAAAGCTATTCAGCCATGACCATGTTGTAAAGTAGAAGCAAAAATGGGACCCTGGCAGAAAAGCCCATAATTACTATGACAAAGAAAGAGCAATCTCAGTGCTAAATTAAAAATGGAATTGTTTTACATTTTCTTGAGAAAGGAGGTTCCATAAGACTGCCTTTGACTCATAAATAATATGAAATTATTAATTATTAAATTTAATATTGGAAAAAGAGGCTTGTGCATCATTCACACATAATCATTAACCATTAATTAATCTACTAACTTCAAAATAATTAACTGACAGCATAGACACAATGCCAATTCACAAACTCAAGCTACACGTTACTGACTTTCAGGCATGCAGACTCTAATTTCCGTAATATTTCTAACAAGAATTGGGGAGGGAGGTGAGTGTGGTCATCTTCCTAATGTGTTTGACTCAGAAATAGCCCTCCCAGGAAAGCAGATTTAAGTTATTAGGCCAATGCCCTATATATGTTTCATTTGCAAATGAAGTACCTTCATGTAAAGATTTCTTTCGGTTCTTCATGTTGTTTTTCACAAGGATTTCACAAGGAAGGAAAACACATTCGATGGTACTAATGCATTTCAGCTATTTGAATTGTGCTTCTATTTATGATCTGGGCTGCTACTTATTCATTCATTCCCTAAATCAACATTTAGTCACCCATATTTTGCAGGCACTGGAGATGCCATAATCACTAAGACAGGGCTTCCCTCATGAAGTTCACAGGCCAGCAATGGAGATAGACAGTACATAACAATCACCAATATGATGTGGTCAATGCTAAAATAGAAATATATGTCTAATCTTAGAACACCTTGGTTGGAAAAAAAGGGGGGAAGAGATGGTAGGTGAAACAAAAGGCATCTAGGAGGGGAAAGATTAACAGACTGAGAAACTCTAAGTAGGTGTTTACTGGAGACTGATAAATATACAGACCCTATGCATCTGGCTAGTCAGCACATGGAGAGCAGAACAGGACCAGCACATTTGCAAGGGAAATTAAATTTGTTTTTGTGCTCCCATGATGCATCCCAGTAGAAGAGCTTATTAATTAGGAAAGTTCTCCTGACCCAGTGGAGAATATGGAATGCATTCAGGGAAACAGAGAGGAAGCTCCATTCTGATGCTGGTTGGCAGTATGGTGGCGGGGCAGGGAGGAGATAATTTGCATACCTTTGTGGTACTTGGGCATTTGGGCTACAGTCCATATATATTATATAAAGGCATAAAGGTAGTCTAAGTCTGGACTGATTAAGTAGCTAGACAGAGCAGACGTCAGAATTTTCAGAATCTGTAAATGGATGGGACAAGGAAAGGAAAGAGGCACATCTCAACATATCCAAAAGAATGAAATTATTTTGAAGAGTTGTAAAATCAAGACAGAAACAATTACCCTCAGAAGCTCAAAAGTGCTACCTACTCTTCCATGTTTATACTATAAATTCCTTATGTCTAAAAACTTCTTCAAATTTCATCTAAGAGTTATTAGGGGTCTCCTATATGAACTTACTGGCAAACCTTTCAATTATAGCCTTGGTTTTCAGAAGAGCATGCTAGAACATACTGGAAGTCATAGGATAAAACTGGCATATTCTCTTAACAATGTCAATTTCACATTATTAAAAATCTTCTAAGATATTTCTATAATAAAACTGTCATGAATATAATGTGGATTTGAATGTAGAATTCATTTAAAAGCTTATGGTGAAACAAAAGTCTTCAAAAAAGATTTGAACTTTCTATAGGTACACTTACACTTTCTCTGCCATTAGGGGAACATTAATGAAGAAATTTGAGAGGCATTTCCTTATTTAATTCTAACAAATGTGTGATGTTCCCTACTTCACACTTGAGGAGATTGAGGCTTACAGAAGTTATTAATTTACCCCAAATTATACAGCTCCCTTAATTAGAAATTTTCCATGGATGTTTAAATTTCAGCCTGAACAGACAAGCAAGATAAAGGCCAATCTTAACTTCTCAGGATATATTATTATATATTAGCACTGACATTTCAAACTGTCATTTTTCCCACTGTTTTTGTCTAAAACAATTAAAAAAACCTTAAAAATCTAAGTGTTCCATATGTACTAAGAACCGGAAACTTTCAAAGCTCCTTGTATCGAACAATTTATGTGTTTAAGATTTGTCCTACCCTTTGAGTTGTCTTTGGAAAAGCAGTGCTTAACTGCTGCCAAAGGGATACCAACTTTTCATGCATCAATTTTACTTGCTCAGGAAGGTTAAGTGATGATCCCAAGCACGCACTACTGGCATGAGTCCATCTAATTTAAGAAAGGCTTAGGGAGTGATTGGCATAACAAGGCAAACCCTCCAAGGAGCTATAGGACACAGATGGAACCTGAGATATAAGTATTAGCTATAAAAGAACTTACCATTTCAAGACCCAAGTCTTTTTCATCTTTGTAACCCAGACACAAGGCAACACCATTGACGTGAAACATTATTATTTTTCAGCAACAGCTCTACAGTTGCTGAGGAATGTATGCAGGATACTGTCTTTTGGCATTCAGTATCTTTATCGACCCACAGTACCTAAAAGACTGGAAATCTAAAAGCTACATTTACCAAACTCCCTTGACACTACAATTCCAGATGTGATATAGGTTCTGCCAACTACATACACTCATAGGCAATATGAAAAGCAGGAGGGAGTTAGAGGCCATTGTCTTCTATGGTCCTTTGGGCATAAAAGTCTGGCCCAACAGGATGATGCTGCATGGATTTCACAATCCCTGTAGTAGTTGCCTGGTCTCTGCATGACAGTCAAATTGGTAGATGACCTTGAAGTCAGCCTAAAGGAGGCCTCTTATTTTGATATCTCAAATTTTTCCAATAGTTTGGTAAATAACTAATTATCTGCGTTACATTTCTTTCTGCTTGAGATACCCAGAGAGATTTATTCCAGGGAACCTGATGAAAATCAGGTCTATAGTACCACCGTGAGTTATTGCTAGTAAAAACGATGCTTAGAAGGCCAAACACAGGAATCTGAAAGTTGTGGAAGTAGATGGGTATTTCCTTCTCATTTTTTGTTGTTTTGTTTAGCTAAGGATTGTGTGTCAATGCCTGCAGGGCTTGTAGTAGGATGGTTGTAAAATGGTTTAGAATGCTGCTCTCTTCGAGGGCTTAGCTGATCTTGGCATCCCGTGAACCCTGAGCAAAATTTAGTCACCTTCACTAGGAAATCCTGTAACCAGAAGTGACATTTTATGCTAATGAGTTTCTCTTTCCAGTGTTGGATTTTTCCCATTGTCACAATATAAGAATCTGTTTGTCTTCTAGGGGTGATTACTTACAACAGTGATTTTATTCAGTTGTATCTCAGATCAAATTCTCAACTCTCATGGTACATTAGTGGGTTCTTAAAAAAAATGATATGCAGGGCCTTACCTCCAGAGGTATAATACAATTGGTTTTGGTGGAATCCAGGCGTCAGCATTTTTTAAACTTTTCCAAAAATGTAGCCAGGGCTGAAAACAACTGAACTGGGCCAAACTGTAACACTGAAGGTGAGCATAACTCACGGAACACTTGCATAGTAAATAGATAAAGCCAATATAAAGGCATGCAAAATGCTCCAGTGATAAATACCCATACAAGTTTAAAGAAGAAGGACTGCAATGAGGCCTGAAGTTGTCCAGAAAGGGGTGATCAGGAAGGAGTAACTAGGGCTGAACTCTGAACAGTGAATGAAATTTGCACAAGTGAAAAAGAGTGAAGGGGTAATCCAGGTAGCAGAAACTGCAAGGATAAAGGAACAAAGCAGGTGTGAGCATGTTATGCAATGTGGACAGTTGAGAGTCAACCAGGCAAGAGGAGGAAGGTAAGAAAGTACAAATTTGGACAAGGTAAAGTGGAGTCAGATTACAGAAGACCTCAGAAGCCAGGCAAAGGAGCCTATGCTGGTAACATTAGGCAATTGGAGGGTCAGTGAAAGGGATGTCCTTGGTTTTCTGTCATGACAGATGGTGCCATCTTTGGCAAAGTAAGATTGCTGAAATCAAAAAGTATTTGAGCTTGATAGTGATAGCTTAGCTCTGAACACAGCAAGTTTCTTAGAATGGGGAAAGATGTTAATATAACTTGGAGTTTAAGCAGCATCAAAATAGTATATCAGCTGTTACTGAGCTGATACTGATTGCTTCAAAATCCTCTATAGCTTTATGGTTACCTTTTACTTGTGGAAGGAAACCAGGGAACAGTAAAAATATGTTGGGGAAGCTTAGTCTTTCCTCATCATAAAACTTCATATTAGTCTAGTTGACATGTGTTGAGGACACTCTCAGTGCTCCACCCAGATACCTTCTGATCCCTTTTGCCATTTCAGTGGATACTTTCTCTGGTTTCTGTGTGCCTTTGTTTCTAACACCTGTACCTCTGGCTCTCTTTAGAGGATGCCCCACAGGCAACTGGATTTGCATCCCCACAGGCAACTGTGAAGAGCCAGAAACATCTAGGATTGATGTTACCCACCAACTGCCCTGCTCCCTGACAGGCCTGCAAAATGGTTGATAGGATGCTGGAGTATGAAAGCCTACCTCCTTTCCTCCAAGTTGAGGCAAAATCTGGAACATAATTTACACTCCAGGGCTCTCCTGCAGGATCAGACTGAAGCTAACTTTCAGGAAGTTTTGTTAAGATTGCAAGCTTGTGTAGCATCCTCTCCTCCTCTTCCTTTCTTCTCCCATTTCCCTGTTAATCACCCCCAGAAACACTTCCTTTTATCATGTGTACAGGAATCCTTGTTTGAGGGTCTCTTCCAGAGAACCCAAACTACAACAGCTCGCTCTGATGAACAAATTGCTCTTACATGCACCACGTTTAATGTCACTTGTGGATTTTTATTGTTCACTCTCCCATGGGATTTTTTTTTTTTTTTTGAGACAGTTTCACTCTGTTGCCCAGGCTGGAGCACAGTGGCATAATCATAACTCACTGCAGCCTCAACCTCACAGGCTCAAGTGATCCTCCCACCTCAGCCTCCTGAGTAGCTGGGGCCACAGGTATGTGCTACCATGCTCAGATAATTTTAAAAATTTTGGTAGAGGTGGGGTCTCCCTATGTTGCCCGGGATGAGATTTTTTAATGTATGGGGTTTTTTTATAGCAAGTACCAGGATGAAGCCGAAAATCTGACTTGGGAGTTTTTCCAACAAGTCAAGACAATTACTTTCCATTTATACCAAATCTGAGGTTATTAAAGATCTCACCAAGTTGAAGCCCTATATCTGATATTATTAGACGCAGAAAGGATTATTTTTTAAGAATTACTGTTTAGCAAAGACTTCTCCATTCATACCATTCCTGGTTTTAGTACAAATGATTTGTCTTATGCTTCAGAACCAAAATGCATTCTATAAAAGTTCATAATTTTGACAACAGTTGTCTATTGGTAGAACAATCTTTATTTTTTTTCAGATTCAAGTAATCCATCACCCAGTTTTTTTTCACTTCCTTATTGTGGTAAAATATGCATAACAAAATGTATCATCTTAACCATTTTCAAGTGTACAGTTCATTGGTATTATGTATATTCATATTGTTATACAACCATCACCAGCAATCCATCTGCATAACTTTTTTATCTTGCAAAACTGAAACTCTATACCCATTAAACAATAACTTCCCACTACCCCCTTCCCACCAGCCTCTGGCAACCACCATTCTACCTTCTGTCTCTATGATTTTGACTGCTCTAAGGACCCCATATTAATGGAATCATACAGTATTTGTCTTTTTGGAACTTGCTTATTTAATCTAGCATAGTGTCCTCAAAGTTCACCCATGTTGTAGTATATGTCAGAATTTCCTTCCTTGATAAGGCTGATGGATAAGGAGGAACTTACTTCTGCCATTTTGCTATTTGATTTCTATGTGCCTTATAGCTTTTTTATTTCCCACTTCCTGCGTTACTAGCTTTCATGTTTAGTTAATTTTTGAGTTTAAATATTTCAATAGCTTTCTCATTTCCTTTTGTATATTTTCTATTTTCTTTGTAGTTTTCATGAAGATTACGTTTAAAATCCTTAAGTTATACACTATAATTTGAATTTATACCAGGTTAACTTCAATAACACACAAAAATGCTGCTTCTTTACATCTCAATCCCCACTCCTTTCAGTTATTGACATCACAAAATTACATCTTTATACGTTGTGTGTCCAAAAACATAAACTAATACTTTTTAATACATTGACCTTTTAAATTATATAGAAAACAAAATATGGAGTTATAAACCAAAGTTATAATTATTCTATCTTTTAAATTAATTATTGCTTCTGAATGTATTACTCCCTTAAATCATGTAGGAAATAATAAGCAGGGTTACAAACCACATTTACAATAGTCTAGCTTTCATAATTGCCCATGTATTTACCTTTACTGAGATCATTATTTCTTCAGACAGCTTCAAGTTGCTGTCTGGTGTTCTTTCATTTCAACCTGAAGGATACCCCTTAGCATTTTTTCCAGGGAAAGTCTAGTGGTAACAAACTCCCTCAGCTTTTGTTTATCTGGGAATATCTTAATTTATCTTTTAATCTTGAAGGACAGTTTGGCTGCATATGGAATTCTTAGTTGGAAGGTTTTTCTTTTCGCACTTTGAATATATCATCTGGTTGCTTTCTAGCCTCCAAAGTTTCTGATGAGAAATCTGCTGATAATTTTATTGAGGATCACTTGTATATGATGAGTCACTTCTCTCTTGCTGTTTTCAAGATTCTCTCTTTGTATTTGATTTTTGACAGTTTGATTATAATGTGTTTTGGTGTGGGTCTCTGAATTCATTCTACTTGGAGTTTGTTGAGCTTCTTGGATGTTTATGTTAATATTTTTCATCAAATTTAAGGAGTTTTCAGACAATAATTACTTAAATATTCTCTCTGCCTCTTTCTCTCTTCTTTTGAAACTGAAAATATGCATGTTGGTCCACTTGATAGTGTACCACAGGTCACTTACACTCTGTTCACTTTGCTTCAATCTTTTTTCTGTTTCTGAGGCTCAATAATTTCTATTGTTCTATCTTCAAGTTCATTTATTCTTTCTTCTGCCTGCTCAAATCTGCCTTTGAATCCCACTAGTGAATTTTTAATTTCAGCTATTATATTTTTCAGCTCTAGAATTTTTTCCTTTCTTTTTAGGTTTTCTGTCTTTGTATTGATATTTACGTTTTGTTAATACATTTTTTTCTTCACTTTCTCCACGTTTTCCTTTAGTTCTTTGAGTATCTTTAAGACAGTTGTTTTCAAAATCTTTGTCTAGTAGGTCCGCCATTAGGTCTTTTTCAGGGACAGCTTCTGTTGGTTTGGGTTGTTTTTTCTTTTGAATGACGAACCATACTTTCTTGTTTCTTTGTCTGCTTTGTAACTTTTTGTTGAAAACTACATTTTAATCCAATATTATGATAACTCTGCATATCAGATTCTTCTATCCCAGGGTTTGATTTGTTGTTGCTGTTCTCTTGTTTTGTTTTTATTGTTATAGGCTGCCCCTGTGCCAAGGATCAGCCTGAGATGTAAACTTAAGGTCTTCTCAGGTCTTTTTTGAAGTTGTGCCTTTCCCTGTGCATGCACAATGACTTTCTAATTCTCCCTGTACACGTGATTGCTTTTGAATGTCCTAGTCTTTGATGTCTGACTCCCAAAAGGGGAAGAAAGAAAAATAAAGGGAGAAAGGGTACTGGCCCTTTAAATCACTTGGAAGTCATTTCAGCCAGAGTGGGAGGGGCTTGCAGCAATGGAGAGAGGTGCAACAACCATGGACAGCACCTCTTTGTCTGCACCTCTGTGATCAGAAGAAACAATCAGCAGTCAGATCACAGGTTACAGATATTTGGAGGACAGGATCCTTTTTGCCCACTCTGTCTCCTGAAAACTGTAAGCTGCTCTAGGAGCGCAAGCACAGTTGCTTCTCGTGGAGCTGGGGGTGGGGGTATCTGCTGCTGTGCTAAGGGCTGAAATTGACTGAAATTAATCATAATTTGCAATCCAAGCCTTCCCCTGGAAGTTGCAAGCTTTCATTAGCCTCCAAAGTTAAAAAATGGTACATTGGACATATTCTGCCAGTACAATTGTCGTCTTGGTGGGAAAACAGATTCCTGGTCCTTTTTACTCAGCTATCTTCCCAGAATCCTCTGATCATCCAGTCTTATATGCCATTTTTAAAAGTCTCTCCCCTGTTCTTTACTCAAAAATCATTGCATAAGTAATTTTCTTTTTGTTACACCAGACAAAACTTCAGCAACATGAAAATACACATGCACACACACACACACTCTTCACATCTTTTTCTAAGCAGAAGTATCTTTTTGGAGAATATTATACTTCATATTGATGTACCTAGCTTAGTGCCTGGCATGTAATAGGCATGTAACAGGAAATATATTTTTGAATTGCATTAATAGTAACACTGTTTTTCTCCATACATCCCACTTGCCACTGTGAATCCAGTTATTGAGACAAGGGAAATACTACCTTTTTTAGGAGGAGGCTGGATGCAGTGGGAATCTCCCTCAGACAGAAAGAAGGGGAAAGTCCACCCCTTCTGCCCTGGAGGAATGTGAGGAAGAGGGAAGTAGGGGAACTGAAATGAAAGAGTGAGAATGTGTGTCTTGACCCCTCTGCTATGGATTGAATCCTTGTAGTGGAGAGGTCTGTTACATGGTCTGAGAAAGAAGTTGAAATATGAGTGGTTTCAAAGTGCACTCCTAATTGGTAACTTCTGAGATGGCAGGCAAGTGGGGAGAAGCATACTTGGTAGAGAAGTCCTGATGTGATATTCTTGGGTAACACCTAACTGCCCATATGTGGAGTGGATCTAAAAGTTTTCACATGTTCCAAAGGATGATGAGAATGAAGCTTGAGAATCTACTGGGTAGCTTGCCACAGAGGGTCTCTGTGGAAGGAAAAGTAGCCCAATATCTGAGGGATACAAGAAAGGTCATTCAGGAAATAGCTGGTCAGAAGAGTGAGTCAAACCTTGGAGGTTACACAAAGCCAGAGAGAATTAAGGTGGGACCCAGGAAGCAAAGAGAGATGGCTAATTGTAATGAGAAAACAAACTATAAGATCTACAAGCCATGGACTACAGCAGTGAATACCAGAGGGCAGCCAGAGCCAGGACCATAGCAAGTATACCTCAGAGGATAACAGCCAAACCCCATCCAGACAAGACCAACCCAACAATGGAAATAGTCTCGGCCATCTACCACTCACTCCTAACACTAAAAGGACCACAAGCTTCCCCATCCAACCAAAACTGGGAAAGAAGGATAAGAAGGAAAACAACAGCTTCAACGAGGAGTTAAAATTTGGATTCAGTGAGTATTAGAGAACATGGATCAAGTCATATAAAAAAGAATATTTAAACCAGAAGAGAGAGAAAATCTGTTAATTTTTTTCTTGTGCCAGCTATCTATGGTCATACATAATTTTCTACTGATCCTATAATAAATTATTATAAACAGTGGCTTAAACAATGAAGATTTATTATCTCACAGTTCTGGATGTCAGAAGTCTGACACAGTCTCATTGGGCTAAAATCAAAATGTCACCAGGGCTGCACTCCTTTCTGAAGGTTCTAGGGAAGAATCCATTCCCTTGCCTTTTCTAGATTCTAGAGGTCACCCATATTCCTTGGTTATTGGTATCCTTCCTCTCCAAAGCCAGCATCTCTCTGACCATTCTTCCATATCACATCTCCTTTCCCCTCACTCCAGCTGGGAAAGGTTCTCTACTTTTAAGGACTCACATGATTAAATTGATCCCACCAAGATAATTCAGAATAATATCCCCATCTCAAGATTTTTAACATAATCACATTTGCAAAATCTCCTTTGTCATGTAAGGTAAATATAATTGCCAGTAATTAGGATGTTGACATCTTTGGGTAACCATTATTCCATCTGCCACAGGCCATAATAAGGCTGTGTAACCAGCAGCCACCAAACCTCGGTAGCATGCAACAAGAAGTTTATTGCTCATAAGTATGGGTCAGTTAAGGGCTGGCCAACCAGCTTCATTTGCTGGCCTTGTCTGCGAATATTCACATGTCTGGAGGCTAATTGACTGTTGGCCTGGCAACTGAAGCTGCTCAGCTCTGCTCTGCTCTGTGTGCCTCTCATCCTCCAGCAGATAAGCCCAAGCATATTCCAGTGCAACAGCAGAGCTGTCAGAAAAGAAGCATAAATACTCGAGACTCCTTAAGGCTTAGGCTCAGAATGAGCACACTGCCACTTTCACTTCATTTTACTGGTCTGGCCCAAAGTCGGAAAGGAGGCACTACAGATTGGCATGGCAAAAGGCATGCATCCAGAGAAGGGAGAAGAATTGGAGCCATTCTGCAACCTACCATATCTCCCATCCCCACTCATACCAATGCCTGCTACTGAGCCAATGATAGGTGCTATGAGCCAACTGAGACCACTCCATGCTTGTATATCAGTAAGTTTAGGCTGTGTTATCAGGTACAGGAACACAATAAATGTTCATTAAGTGGAACAGATTTTAATTCTACAGTGAACAGAATGGTTATTATATGAGCATATCAAAACTGAAGAAAAGTATGAAGTAAATGAGAATAAAATAGCTGTATCATCTCTGTTTATTTGAGTACTTTTGTTAAAGTGATCGTGTTTTCTGCTTTAAGTATCTTCACAACTTTGTGATTTCCAGCCAGATTTTCCCAACTTGTAAATGTAGCATTTCCTACACATCTAACAATTCAAAAATAATAGAATTTGCCTGGGCAAATCCTGGACTTCGGAGGAAAAAGCAAAATAAAATACAAAGAAATACACACAAATATTTGGAAAATAGTTAAAATCCAAACTTTCCAAAAATATATATTTTTAAATCATATTTTGATCAAATTTTTATTTCACAGCAGAGCTACTTTGCATAAGTATATTTGTTCATTTGTGAAAGAAAACCTTTATACATTGAGGTTATGTAACAAAGAGACTCTTTAAGGTTGTATTAATTTTTTCCTAAAATATACTCATTTTGAACAATGAGCCCAAATGATTTCGTTCTAAAAAGATCAAAGCAAGGCCAAAAACTGACATAATGTGAGTCTACTTGAAAGCAAATTTTGATTCTTTAACTCTAACGAGGAAATACATGCAAACACAATGCCTCTAATTGATCACTTTCCTAATGCAATTCATTATTTTGGCTGTTTTTGCAGATGATCACCTGATAATGCATTTTTTTCAGCCCTTTCCTGTTCCCATATTTGTCACATCTTTTTCCTGTATTCACTGCTGAGAACCACCTACACCCCCGAGCCTTACTTCTGGTCTTGAGCCACTCATGCCTTGGGCATCCTCCAATTCTACTAATTCTAGGGAGAGTGGAGTTAGGTCAAGATGCCTAACTCTTGTATGGCAGGGCTGAGCCCAGGCATGTAGTAAGCCCTCCAAGCTTGTTACCCACCTTTCTCATGCCAAGTCATCTGTGGTGGTTAATTTCATATGTCAACTTGACTGGGCCATGGGGTGCCTAGATATCTGATCTAATGTTATTCTGTGTTTGTGGGTGAAGATGTTTTGGGATGAGATTAACATTTGAATTGGTAGACTGAGTAAAGCAGATTGCCTTCCCTAACATGGGTCACCCTCATCCAGTCAGTTGAAAACCTGAATAGAACAAAAAGGCTGACCCTTTCTTAAATACAAGGGAACTCCTCCTGCCTGAGTGCTTGAGTTAGGACTTTGTTTTTTTTTTTTGTTGTTGTTTTTTCCTGCCTTCAGACTCCCACCAAAACATTGGTTCTTCCTGGGTCCTGAGCCTGCCAACTTCTGGACTGGAATTTATACTATCAGCTCTCCCAGTTCTTAGGCCTTCAGACTCAGACTGGAATTACACTATCAGCTCTCCTGGGTCACCAGTCTGCTGACTACAGTTCTTGGCACTTCTCAGCCTCCATAATAGCTGAGAAGTCATAATAGCCAATTTTTTACTATATATAAGTCTCCTCTGGGTTCTGTTTCTATGGAGAATCCCCTGGCAACTGGGTACATAAACTAAAAATCCTGATTAAATCACTCCACTGCTCAACAACCTTCAATGGGCTTTCATTATAAATAGAATAAATCTCAAACTTTTTACAATAACCAATAGCTGCTACAAAATTTGATATCCCCTATATGCCTCTCCAAAGTCATCTCCTTTGACTCTCCCTTCACTCTTTTCCGTCTGCACTAAAATTTCTATCTCAGAGCTTTTGTATTTGCTATTCCCTCTGCCTGAAACAACCCTTATTAATTCAGTCTACAAATATTTCTTACATGTTTCAGACACTATTCTAGTTTATATGAACTATACACACAAAAATGTTTTCCCTGGTAAAGCATACATTCTCTTCCTCAAGATCTTTCATGGCTGCTTTCTGGGCTTTTTCTGATTTTCCTAGCCAAAGAAATTCCTACCCTTAGTCACCCTATCCCATAACCCCCTTTTGTTTTCTTCATTCTCACCATGTGTGAAATTATTTATTTATTGCCTGTCTCACCATTTTAGACTGTGATCTGCATATCTGTCTTGTTCCTTTCCAGTGTCAAGAACTGTACCAGGCAGTTGGAAAGAAAAGAGGTGCACAGCATTGTTCACCAAGCCCTATAATCTGGTGCATCAGCACTCAACTTATTTGTGTGATTTTGCCCAGGAAACATGGCTATTTGAATAAGTAATCAGTTGTTATAATTGCCCATTGAAATTCTGTTTAGCAATAATAGAACTATATACTTAAAGAAAGCCCCAGAGTTGATTTTAGAGATGGCTGTTCTAAAACTTGTTTACTTCCAAACATAATAAAGTGATTGCGGATATGAGAAAAAAAGATTTTAGAAAACATTTTTTAAGCTGTGATTTTCTACTGGCAAGACATTGTATATTAAAATATCCAGTCATCTCAATCAGGAATGACCAATGCTTATGACCACAGAAGTTTGGAGTAGGTTAGGGTCAAGGTTAGGGACAAGTCATTGAGGCTCAAAAAGGCAGAAGACAGTGGGTTTGTGGGGTTATCAGTTAGTTTCTTCCAGCCTCATGTAAGGAAGGCACAGTGAACTCCACCCCAGCACTTCCTCTCTCTCCCTCCTTTCTCACTTCGCTGGTGGGGATAGCACAGTTATAGAATTCAGCTCAACCAGGAAGCAGGAAGCAGCATGAAAGTCAGGAGTAACACTTCTTGAACATGGATAAGCTATGCCCTTCTTCAAGGTTGTAAGGAAGGCTGATTCCATTTCCAGTGCATGGCAGATATTGAAATACCTTCAGATCTAGACATATCTGTGTGGGGGTGAAGAGTGGAGACTTCCTTCTTCCTCATTGTACCTAAAGAAGCTTCCAGTCCTGTAGTGTGAGCTTGGTCTCGTCTTCACAACACAGGAGAACTGCATCAGACTGTTTGCCTATCAGCAATACCATGAGACAAAAACAGCAGCAATAGAAGAGTCTTGGGCCAAGACAACAATAAAAGCACAGTATTTCCAGGGTTTTGCTCAAGGTAATAAAAGTCAGAACTTAGACCCTTGGACCAAATGAGCAAAACTAAAGTTCTTAGAATCATAGTCAAGTGAGGACTGTAGGGATGGAAGGAAGACATTCTTGTAAATAGGAGGCATCACAGCTGGGAGTAAGTTAGTACAAATAAAGAAGTCATGACAAATTATTTTGTATCACAACCTGATAAAACAGAACATATCGGTTTCATAAATATTTAAAGCACAATTTTGAAATGAACATCTATTTCCCTTGAAGTAGGATTGTTTGTATTTCTATAAAGGACACTCTTAGAAACAGTTCACTGTATCAAGTGTCACTTAATTTATTTAGAATCGAGTCTGAAAGTCCCATTGACATTGAAAAACTACCTGTTCATTTGCTTTGATTCTGTAAGAGATTGAAACTTTTCTTCTTACACAAGTCTGAAGGTTAAACATATACATATATACTATATGTATACTATGTACGTATGTATATACCATAGTATATACTATATATATAGTGTATGTATAGGTATGTGCTATATACATAAAAGAGTATATAGCATAAAGGGTATTTATAGATAAATTGTCACAGGGACTTGGAAACATCTGAGTCCACGGGAATGGTAAGTGCCAAAGGGGATGGGCAGCTTACCAATGGTGATGTTATAGTGACTCATCAAAAATACCCAAAGATGATAAAGTTTAAAAAAATGACATCTCAGGTTATGGATAAAGCTTAAGTAACTTGTCTGATACTTAAATCATAAACTTTCTAAAACATAGGACCTATCTTTTTTTTGTTGGTTTCTTCAGAGATTATCTCATTGTGTTTTGTGTCCTGGAATTTCACAATGGTATGTCTAGGTGTACTTTTAGTTGTTTTTTGTTTTTGTTTTTGTTTTTTTGCAATGGAGTCTTGCTCTGTCACCCAGGCTGGAGTGCAGTGGCACGATCTCTGCTCACTGCAACCTCCGCCTCCCAGGTTCAAGCGATTCTCCTGCCTTAGCCTCCTGAGTAGCTGGGATTACAGGTGCACGCCACCACGCCTGGCTAATTTTTGTATCTTTAGTAGAGATGGAGTTTCATCATGTTGGTTAGGCTGGTCTCAAACTCCTGACCTCGTGATCCGCCCTCCTCGGCCTCCCAATGTGCTTTTAGTTTTCTTAATCCTCCTTTATATATTTGTGCTTCTAGAATCTGGGGATTAGTTCCTTCACCAGTTATAGAAAAACATCTCAACTATTTTTGCCAAATAATTGATTCTCTCACATTTCCTCTTTCTAGAACTCCAATTAGATGTGTGTTGGTTCCTCTCATTCTCTTAATGATAATTAATTAATTCTCTTAATATGTGTTGGTTCTTCTCATTCTCTTAATTTTCTCTTAATTATCTTCCTGTTTCTCTATCTCTAACCCTCTCTGTTTCATTCTGAAGCTATTTTCTAGTGCATGCTAGTTCTCTCTGCTGTAAAACTAGGAACTGGGTTTTTAATTGTCTTGGCTATATTGTTCCTTTCAGAAATCCATTTGTTTATTTTTCAAATTTGCCCATTCTTTGCAGTTATCTTTCATTTATCTCTCTATGTCTTTAATTATTTCAAACATACTTATTTTACCATCTTAATCAAATGGTTCTATTATCTAAAGTTCTTGAGGGTATAGTTCTGCTGCTTTTATGACCGGTGATTCTCAGTTATGGGGGATTGCTATCCTGTGAGTTTCCTAATTTTGGATTATGGGTTCAAGTTCAATGGCATTGTATGGGTAAAAATCTGTGTGCCGAGTACTGAGTATACATCCCTCCAAAGAGGATTTCTATGTGCTTCTTCCAGGTACACCAAGAGTTTCACTAGTTTATGGTCACTTTAATGTTAAATCTTTGACTTTGTGGCTCCTGGACCATCTGCTTGAGGTGCAGGTCCATTATGACAAATTTTCACAGGAGATTTTTACCCCAGTGAAAGTCTAAGCCAAGACAGACAAGCTTCCTTTGATGTCTACCCACTCCATTTAAGAATATTTTTTCCTAGCCACCCTTTAACTAAGTCTATCAGTCAGGATTCAGTCTAAGTATTTCTTTTAGGAATAATGTAAAGAAGTATTCATGTAAATCATCATAGGTTTTGGAAATATGAAGTTTAAAGACAATTGACACAGCTCTGTTTCACCACTTGGTTTCAGGAGAATAAGAATTTAGTGCACCATCCAAGTCAATTACTTCAGAAAACACCTCAGAGGATCACAACTTCTGCACAATCTTGGAGGGTGGTTCATAGTATTACACCAAGAAGCAACAGCAAAACTTAGTTATCTGCAGCTTACACATCTGTGCTTGACCACCAGGGGAAGAACGATAACTTCAGCTTCTCTTCCACCCTCAGATCTTTCATAATTCTATATCGTTGGCCAAATCTAAGACAGAATACTATGCACAGAGGATTTGGAGGAATGCTGTTATTAGGCGTCTAGCTACTCCAATATCGAACAGAGCATATGAATTGAGACACGTGCTTCATGCCAACAAACAATTCAGTAAATTAAGGATATGATCTTTCAAATTCCTAGGTTTATCCAGAAGACACGGTTCAAACTTTTCTCCTCATTTGAAATCAAAGTGAATGGAAACATTTCCTGTTTCCGTATATTAAAACCTAATCTTTGATGACATTAAGACTGATAACCTCCATTGCATGCACTACAGGGAAGTTGTAACTTCAGGTCATAAATTTATTTCATGTTTACTACGACCTCTTTGTTTTTTGCCTGCATTCTTTTTTGCCAACTACACATTTAAAGTAAAGCTTGTTATAGTTTGTCCAGCGTTTCTAGGAATTTTATAACAGGAGAGTGTTCCTATTAGGAAGCTCACCAATATTGCTACAACAACAATTATGTATAATTTTTTTGTTGTGACTTTATCTTTTTGAGGTGCCATGAAGTAGGGGAGAGTTCTTTGTTACTCTGGATTTTGGAACAGATTTTTTTTTCTCCCACTGGAACTTGGTTTTCATTCATCTCACTTACACTTTTTGTTTTAACTTTTCAGCTTGAGGTTTCTGGGCCATACAGGTTATATCAATTCAGAACTCATTCTACATGATGTTTTCATTCTCACAGACAACTCTTTTATTCATACCACATACCAGGGCAGATAGCAATATTCTTTGTATTTTACACTAGGAGAGGAAGTTATCCACTTTGCATTATTGGGGCAGCCTTTTGAGGCTTTGTAGCTTTATTTATGGGATGCGATTCTAGATTCTTTAAATGTGCAGGCTAAAGCACAAATATCCTATTCCTGCCTGGGCATCAAAACCCAGTCTCCAACCCCCAGGACCTGATACTCTCATGGGCTTCCATCACATCAGCTCCTGCCTAGTACTCTGGTGTTCAGTTTCCTCTTCACTTGTGCTATCAGGGGATTTTCTTTATTTTCTTTCAAGCTCAGCTGTGTTGAAGATGATTACTACATTTTGTCCAGTATCTCTGCCTAAGCCTTTCCTTATCAGCTCTGCCTGCCATATTACTGGAAGCTTTGAGGCACTTTCCATTTTATCTAATATTATCTGAAAAGGGCAAGGGGCTATAGTCTTTCAAGTGTTCTCTATAGCATATACTTATAAACATAAAACTAAAATATGATGAAAAAGATAAAAAACATAAAAGAGGTATATGGCATTAAAAATATCAGAATGGTTTTGAAAAGATGTCTCAATTTTACATTTTTTAGTTTATTAAAGAAAATACATCTAGAAAATATTGGTAATTTTTTAAGTTAGAGGAATCATGAAAATGGAGTGCATCTTGAAGTCAATACTGTATTTGATAAAGTGTTTTGTGGCATTCACGTAGGTGACTTGAGGCAAATTCATTCTGAGCTAATATGCTTATGAGCATGACTTATTAAGGAGCACCAGTATAGGCATGTTGATGGAATGACCTGATCTCAACCTGTAAGGAGTTGGGGGGAAGATTTTCAGCATTTATATTGAAGATGTAGATTAAAGAGAAGACAAAATAATGTTAATAGACATCAAAAAAACAAGAGAGAATAGAATTTCTAAACCATCTTGATCGGCTAAAATGCTAAGCCAAGTACATAAGACAACTTTGAGAGAGGAGAATTTTACGGTGTCCTTGGTGTGATTGTCTTTAATGTTCTCCATGCTGATATTCTGCAAGAGCTATCCAATAAAATCTAAGTTCTTTTAAATTATTTATTGAGGTATAATTTCACTCAGTGTAAACACATACCAGATTTAATGTGTTTTGATAAATGTATACATCCAGGTAACAACCATCCAAATCTAGATATGGAACAATCTCATCATCTCAGGGATGAATCTTCCCAGTCAATCTTCTCCCCCAGCCAGAGACAACCACTGTTCTGATTTCTATCATCAGGTCTTAATTTCACCTGACTTAGAACTTCATACAAATGGACTGATATTATTTGTGCACTCTTAGCTTGGCTTCTGTTGTTCAAACTAATATTTTAAAAATTCGTCCATATTTTGTGTGTATCAGTTGTGTGGGTTTTTCTTTTTTGCTTTGTTTTGTTTTATATGGGTTGTTTTTGCTTTGTTTCATGAAAATAGTCCATTGTATGAATACACTATAATTTGCTTATTCCCATTCTGATATTAAAAGTACAAAATGGAAACTCCAAGTTGGGAGGTGAGAACATTTCAGCATATCAAGATGGTGTAAATAAAAGTTGGAATTAAGGAAGCCAGAGGGACATTTTCTTTGGAGGGTATTGTGGTATTTTCCCTGTTTCCTCCCACAACTGGGCAAAGGGAGAGAAATGTTCCTCAGCTCACCTAAAGCCCAGCCTGGAGAATATAAACAGGAGATTACAACCTTAAGACTTATTTGAGATCTTTCCTACCCCCTAGCTCCACTCCTTATGCCAGACGGTTCCAAAACTAAGGCCAGCTGACTGAGTGGGGATGTGGAGCTGATGAAGAAAGAAGAAGCCTGAAGCCTCCCAAGCCATACACTCTTCCCTTCTAGCCCAGCCCATTCCCCAGCTTTTAGACCTGAAGTAGGCCAGATCTGAGAGGGGAAATAGTACAGTTTGGAGTGGAAATGTCAATTACTAAAATGAGACAATTAATATGAGCGGATGGCTTTTATCAATATGAGAGTAACTGGAATTAATATGAGTGGATGGCTTTTATCCATATGAGAGTAACTGGAAACATGTTGAGAACTCTGAGATTTTCTTCCAGAGCATAAATCACTGAGCATTTGGAGAAAAGAATAAAGTTGTTTTGTGCTAATATCCAATTGAGCTCCATGGGTATTCCATGAAACGTCATAATCTGATATTAAAACATTTGATAATGGAAACACTGCCTATATTTTTCTAAGGCTTATAGTTAATGCCTTGAATAAACCATACAAACCTAAGGCTACAGCTAATATTAAAAGGGGTACAGGTTCCATCATCAGAATGCCAACTCAGTTGGGTTAGGATAGACTCACAGTCTCAACAAATATGAACTTCAGATGCTTTCCTATTTAAAGAAAGGTGAACTTTTTGCCTGGTAAGTTTTTGTTAAAATTTTCACTACCCATTACACTATTCTAGACTAAAATGTTCATATAAAAAAGGGAAATATAGCACTTATATATTTCTAAAATTCAGGTTTGTGGAAGTGTAATTCAAAACTGTAAAATTTAGAGCACACACATTTTTTTTTTTTTTGAGACAGGGTCTCACTCTGTCGCCCAGGCTGGAGTGCAGTGGCATGATCACAGCTCACATCAGCCTCAACCTCCAGGGCTCAAGTGATCCTCCCACCTCAGGCTCCCGAGTAGCTAGAACTAAAGGTGCATGCTTAGAGCACAAATTTTCAAAGTGATTTTTTTCATCCATTTTTTACTAGTGGCCATACAATCAATTGGGTTATACTACAAATACTATTTAAATGTCTTGATAACCAAAAATGCTAGGTTGATCATTGATCTACCTTATTATTTTGTCATAGCCAGAATAAGAATTGCATTTACAAAAAATACCAAATCTCTGCTCATGAAACGTGACAAGTTGATGGCAGACAGGTGGATGGTTAACTAGGGAAATTTCACTGCTAAATTATCCACCATAACTGTTTAGAAATGTCTTTCTCATCAGTGAAAATGGAGAATTATGCTTGCCACCTGATTCTTCATGAAAACATACTCCTCAAACTAAAAGAGATATGTTGCATCTCTGGCATGACTTCCAGAGAAATAATATATATATTTTTTATATAGATATATATTTTTATATACATGTTTTATATATATATTTTATATATATATCTATATAAAATATAGATATATATAAAATATATAGATCTATATAAAATATATATATAAAATATATAGATCTATCTATATAAAATAGATAGATCTATCTATATAAAATAGATCTATCTATATAAAATAGATAGATCTATCTATATAAAATAGATCTATCTATATAAAATAGATAGATCTATATAAAATAGATCTATCTATATAAAATAGATAGATCTATATAAAATAGATAGATATACTATATCTATATAAATATATAGATATAGTATATCTATATAAAATATATATAGTATATCTATATAAATATATAGATATATAAATATAAATATATACTATAAAATAAATATATAGTATATCTATATAAATATATAGATATACTATATCTATATAAAATATATAGACTATATCTATATAAAATATATATTTTTTAAACATAGAAAAGATATATTTTAACTGCAAAGCACTATGGGAGTAATTGAATCTTCCTAGCAACGCTGGAGCTTCAGTGACACAGTCGTTTAAGCTCCGCTTCCAGTAGAAGAAGAAAGAGATGCAGGGGGAAGTAAAAAATATGTTTTGAAAAAATAATAAAGTTAGTGATAAGATCCTTGAAATTAAAAAATTGGATGTCAAATTTCATGGCTTATGCATTCTACTACAATATTATCCCCTTTATTCATGATAAATGCATTTAGTAAGCAATTACTATATGTCGGAATTATATCCTTAGAAACTGAAAAGAAGAGTATGTCTCATTCAGACAGTAGGACTTGTGTACATGAAATAAATAACAGTACCATACTGGACTTTAGGAAAATCTGCAAGTAGGCAGTAGAGTCCTGAAACACCTCCTTCTGTTCCTAAATTCTCAAACCAACTTGCTCTGACAGGGAAACTTAGTTCCCATAGAACTACCCATCTTGGTAAACTATGACCTGACTACTAATAATTATGACCTTCCTGGGAATGCCCTATGATATTTGATCCACCAGAAACACAGGGTACCCTCCAAGCCAAAGACTTCTTGGCCCTTTAGTATATCCAGCTTTTAGTACCAATGGTGATCACCCTTTGGAAACTAGGAATTTCAGGTGGTATCTTGGGTGGATAACAATGATTTCTTTGCTCCTTATTCACCTCCCACATACTGAGTGCTAAATACTTTTCCCACTCATTTCTAAAACTCCAAATACATTTATCTAACATTCACATTGGATCAGTCCAAATAGGAACAATTTTGACAGTGAAACAGGGTGTACTATGAATAATTATCCTGGAACAATAGGCATAAACTGTTCTAGGTAAGTCGTGATATATGGTCATGCTACCTATAAGACATGCATGTTAAACAAAAAGAAAAGACTGAAAAAGTACTAGGAGCAATGAAAATGTAAGTCATTCTTCTTGTAATTTACTAAGCCAACCACAGAATTCCTTGGCATTGAGTTGAGGTTGGGTGATGTATAGAAGGTGGCTTTCAACAAAACAATGAGATCTAATGTTCGGGTCTTTTTACACAACTTGAAAACAAAATTAGGCCAAACTAACAGATTTGTTTGGGTTTAAGAAATATCATAGATGCCTTTTAACTCAGAAATTCCATTTCTAAGACATTTGCCCAGTGAAATAGTTATGGATATGTGCAAATATTTAGCTATAAGCTAGCTCATTCAGCGATACTTAAAGAAAGGTGAAAAAAGAAAACCCTAATTTCCAAAAATAATGAATTGGATTATATACATTGTTATACCATACAACAAAATTCTATATAGTCATTAAAAATAACACTATGGGTAAATATTGAATAGCATGAGAAGAAGTCCTCACTGCATAAATATTTTTGAAGCAAGTTATGATATACTATGCTTGGATCCTGTTTTTATTTATTTTTATTTTTTGAACTATTTATTGAGGTACATCTTATTTCTAGTTAAAGTAAATGTGTGTCTCTTCATAGTGAAAAAATAGGAATGATGATTAATAAAATGTCAACAAGAAGCTGGAGTTATGGCTGATTTAAAAAGTTCTTGCTTTGGCTTATCCATATTTTATAAGAATATTTTATCAGTATGTAACAAAATAACTATTTTTAACATTATGTAGAGTGAATTACAAATGACAGCAAACCCATGGACACATTCTGCCTTTTGATCAGACAGCAGACTGGCAGATGGGCAGGGTAGACAAGCCCCACCTCCATCTTTATAACAGTCATTCATGAAGTTGGCATCATCCTCAAAAAGGCTGATGCAATTCAATAAACTGTCTGGATGCTTATTCTGACACTCAGGCAATCTTCTGAAGTCAAGGAGCTGACATGTGCATCCTAAATGACCAAGTCATAAAACAGTCCATAAAGTATTGAACCACTGAAAAATTTAAATCTTCCTAACGTTTCAGGAAAGCAGTCCCCAAGGTTCACTCTGAGGACATCCCTGTAATAAATAGGACTCAGAAAGAGAAAAGGATATAGGCAATTAATGACATCCTTTCAGAAGGGGATGTTAAATGATATCAGATATACACTTTCTTTCATAGTTTAATTATACTTGCAAATTGGTTTTAAGAAATAAAGAGGTAAGTCCTTGGCCACTGTAGTGATTTCGCCATATTGTGCAGTCTATTGAAAAACTGAATTACCATATCATTAAATTCTGAAATAGGCTGCAGAACTGTTGTAAAGATATAGAATGCAAAATAAAATAGCCTGTTGTCATGAACTAGAAGATCCATTTTCGGGTAGGGCTCGTGACTAAGGAAGCTAATGACAGTGTTTTGCTCCTGAATGACGGTGATCATTTGTAGGCAAGGATGAGTTCATTTCACACTGAATTTAGTCAATATTTCCCTTCTCTACACCTCACTCCCTACTCTGTTTGTGCCTTTTTATAAGAGAGAGAAATGTGGATAGGTCAATATAAAACACTGAAGCAAACTTGAGATTTACTAAGTTGGGGTTCAAATCAGAGCCTTTTCTTTCTAAAGACCTGTCTACATTTAAAATAAGATTTAATCTACACACATGCAATTTACTCATCATTTTTCGGACATACTTCTAGTGTATAAAGCAACCACCCTCACAAGTTAATGCCCTCCCCAGTTCCTAGGAACCCAGCAGAGAAACAGCAAAAGCCAACTTTTGATCAAGTCTTCTCCTTTCCTCTAGTTCCAGGTAAGAAGAAACACCCGTGAAGGCATATATGCTGGCTTCACTGCAGGGAAACATCTACTTTAGAGGGCACCAATACTCTGGTCATTTTTTAGTTAATTTGTTGTAATCAAGATTTACAAGGTCCATTCATTGCATTTGATTATGACTCCTAAGTCTCTATAATTCTATTACTGTGCTTCCTCCTTTTTCTTAATTCTCATGCTATGATTTATCGGATAAACTTGGTTATTTGTCCTGAAGAATATAGCGTGGTTTAGATTTTGGTGATTACTTCCTCATAGTATCATTTAACTTGTTCCTCTCTTCCATAAAGTATTTATTTTTCATAAATTGGTAGATCGATTTTGAGGTTTGATTCAATTCAGGAGCAACTGGATTATATGATGAGGCACCCAATGTCTGATTGTTCAATTTTAATGATGTGAAAATGATCACGGGGTTCACAGGCTATCAGCCTAATCCTTCCATTAAGATGTTATAAATACAGCATAATACTGTCATAAAAACAGACACATGGACCAATGAAACAGGATAGAGAACCCAGAAACAAATCCACACACCTACAGTGAACTGATTTTCAGCCAAGTTTCCAGGAACATACACTGGAGAAAAAGACAGTCTCTTCAATAAATGGTGCTGGGAGAACTGAATATCCACATGCAGAAGAGTGAAACTAGACCTATATCTCTTGCCATACACAAAAATCAAATCAAATTTGATTAAAGACTTAAATCTAAGGCTTCAAACTATAGTACTACAAGAAAGCACTGGGGAAAATCACCAGGACATTGGAGTTGGCAAAGATTTCTTGAGTAATACCCCACAAACACAGGCAACCAAAGAAAAAATGGACAAATGGGATAATGTCAAATTAAAAAGGTTTTGCACAGCAAAGGATACAATCAGGAAAGTGAAGAGACAATCCATAAAATGGAAGGAAATATTTGCAAACTACCCACCTGACAAGGGATTAATAACCAGGATATATAAGGAGCTCAAACAACCCTACATGAAACAATCTAAGAATCTGATCAAAAAATGGGTGAAAATTTTGAATAGACATTTCTCAAAAGATATACAAATGACAAACAGGCATAAGAAAACGTGTTCAACATTATTGATCAGACAAATGCAAATCAAAGCTGCAATAAGATATCATCTCACCCCAGTTAAAATGGCTGATATCCAAAAG
The DNA here is from genome assembly GCF_000001405.40 of Homo sapiens. Classification (NCBI taxonomy): domain Eukaryota; kingdom Metazoa; phylum Chordata; class Mammalia; order Primates; family Hominidae; genus Homo; species Homo sapiens. The sequence continues at coordinate 14,218,791 of NC_000023.11, read as the reverse complement.
ACAGGCAATAACAAATGCTGGTGAGGATGCAGAGAAAAGGGAACCCTCATACATTGTTGGTGGGAATGTACATTAGTACAACCACTATGGAGAATAGTTTGGAGGTTACCAAAAAACCAAAAAATTGAGCAACCATATGACCCAGCAATGACAGCATGTATCCAAAAGAAAATAAATCAGTATATTGAAGAGCTATCTGCACTCCCACATTTGTTGCAGCACTATTCACAGTAGCTAAGATTTGGAAGCAACCTAAGTGTCCATCAACAATGAATGAATAAGGAAAATGTGGTACTTATACATAATGGAGTACTATTCAGCCATTAAAAAGAATGATATCCTGTCATTTGCAACAGCATGGATGGAACTGGAGGTCACTATGTTAAGTTAAATAAGCCAGGCACAGAAATACAAACATCACATGTTCTCATTTATTTGTGGAATCTAAAAATCAAAACAATTAAACCCATGGAGATAGAGAATAGAAGGACGGTTGCCAGAGGATGGGAAGGATAGTAGGAGACTGAGGGAGGGGGTGGGGATGGTTAATGGGTACAAAGAAATAGAAAGAATGAATAAGATCTACCATTTGATAGCACAACAGGGTGACTATAGTCAATAGTAACTTAATTGCACATTTAAAAATAACTAAAAGAGTGTAACTGGATTGTTTGCAACACAAATGATAAATGCTTGAGGAGATGGATACCCCATTCTCCATGATGTGATTATTTCACATTGCATGCTTATATCAAAACATCTCATGTACCTCATAAATATATACACTTACTATATACCCACAAAAATTAAAAATTAAAAAAATTTAAAGATGTTATCACCCTTTCACCTAATGATTTGATATTTATTAATGGTGGTTGGCTACATTGATTATTTCTCTAATGGTTGCAAAGCTAGTGATTTTCTAATTCTGTTCTACATTAATTAGATAGAATTTCTCTATGGAGAGAAAGTTCCTTTCATGAGCTATTATTTACCCTCACATACCATTTATACAGGAAAGGAAGAATAAAAAGAATTGATAATTTATTTATCAATTTTCAGCTTAATTTGTTGGTGCAATCTCCAGAGACAATAATTTTTAACTCTCTGAATTCATGTATTTCAGTTAATTGTCATCATATTTCTTTTTGATACTCAAACTTTCCCAACTTAGTTCAGTGTCCTTTTTACACAGAATAGTTTTCTATAGCATCCTCTGCCTTCTGGTACAAAAAGAGTTCCAGGTCCAGCTTGCCCAGTTCTTTCTCCAGACATAGAATCTGTCATTTTTCCAAGGAGCATTGGTTCTTTTTAATCAAAGTATTGTATTTTTGCAACCTAGTCTAGGCTCTAAAAGGAATCATTGCTTCTGAGTTATCATTAATTTAAGACCTTTTCAGTGGGAAGAGTTGGGGAAAGCATACGATATTTCCTATTCACATCTATCTAAGATTATAAGATTTTTACTTCTTTGGTTTTATGTTTGTATCTCTTTTCTTTCACACTAAAAATTTTGATTTCCAATGACGGTAACATATAAGCCACCAATACTAATGTTACTACCAATAGTAGAATCACTAAATACAGTTTAAGATTCCTTTGTGGGTCTTATTGTCCTTAGTAAATATTTCACTGGAGACATATAGCCAATATACTGGTTTATTTTTATGTTTATTTTTTGAGACAGGGTCTCACTCTCACCCAGACTGGAGTGCAGTGGTACAACCTCAGCTCACCACAATCACCTCCTCCCAGCCTCAAGTGATCCTCCTGGCTCAGCCTCCCGAGTAGCTGGGATTACAGGCGCGGGCCACTACTGCCTGGCTAACTTTTGTATTTTTAGTAGAGACAGGGTTTCACCATGTTGGCCAGGCTGGTCTTGAACTCCTGACCTCAAATGATCCACCCGCCTCAGCCTCCCAAAGTGCAGGGATTACAGGCATGAGCCACCACGCCTGGCCTATACTGTGTTTTAAAGTCACTTGAGGCTATTATTTTTCTTTATGGTTATGACATCATTTTGCTATATAATTATATTTTTTGTTTTGTTTCCAATTTCTTTTTAAATTTTTAATTTTGTGAAACATTAACATAGTCCAAAAACAGACTACATAATAAAGTACATTTTCAACATTCTTTCTTTACCTCTGTCTTCTTCATCCTGTTTCCTCCATTGCTCTACAGGTAGCCATTTTAATATGCTAATTACCCTGATTTGATCATGACACATGTATACATGTATCAAAACATCACATTGTACCCCATAAGTACGTACAATTATCATGTGCCACTTAAAAACAAAATAGTTCCTTTTAATCAAGGTATTGTACTTCTAGAACCTAGTCTGGGGCTCTGAAAATGCTCATTGCCTGTGGGTTATCATTAATTTAAATGGAACCTAAAAAAAAATAAAACAGAACTTTGTAAAAATAAAAAAATTTAGTCTAGTTTTCTATTTTTTTGAAAATATAAGCAAATGTATATACATACACATATCCCCAACTTTATTAGATAAAAGTTAGAATACTATAATCTTCTTCTGTACCTTGCTGTTTTCACCATACAATATAGCCTGGACATCATTCCATTTCAGTATGTAGATCTTGTCCTCTCTCCTTTATATAACTGCATACTACTCAACTATGTGTTCTTACCATGGTTTATTCATTTGGTCTTCTCTTGATGGGTATTTGAGTTTTTTATGGTCTTCTGTTATTAAAATAATGCTGTAATAATTATCCATGTGCATATATTTTTGAATTTTTGTGTGAGGCCATTTAAATGAATGAATTAGCCAACTCCAAAGCCCATCTAATATATTATGTCTATTACTTAAGTAATTGATGAAAAGAGTTAATTTTATCATTATGTTTTAAATTCATAATAAAAATCATAATTATGTTTGTTAATTTCACAACTACACAAATTTGCACACACAGCATTGTAATGAAAGTGAATATAAACTGTCAATGAACATTCTTACTTTAGCATTCATAAAGCAGAAGATTGGTGTGATACCATTAGCTGCCCTAATAGGTTGAGTTCAAGCATGAACTTCATAGCAACACTCTTTGGACCATTATATAACTTTGGATCATTATATATTTCATTATATATGAAAAATGCTCATTATAACTTGGATAATGTACAGCTATTTCCCGCATAACAACAGAGGTGATCTCAGAGTATATCACTGGTCATCAAAATGACAGTAGCATCTTTGACAGTTGAGGAAGTGGAGGTTTTATCATTGTAAAGTGGAAACAGTTTGATCTTGAGTTCATGTACCTCGGTTAAATCTTGGCTCTACCACTTTGAAGATCTTAAATTTGGGTAGTAGAGGACATGAAAGCCAAAGATATCTTTAGAAGGGTATGACCCTCAGACTGGGTCCGTGTCCCATTTGCCCTTTACAAGCTGTAGACTCTTGGGCAAATATGGCAGGCAGGCTCTAAGATGGCCCCAGTGATCCCAACCTACTGGTATTCACACCCTTGTATAATCTCCCCTTAAGTGTGGGGTGAACATACTGACTTGCTTCTAAGAAATAAAATGCAGCAAAGCTGATGGCATGTCATTTACATGATTATGTTACCAGAGATTATGACTTCTGTCTTGTTACTTAAGTATTTCTATTGCCTTCTCAGCTTGCCTGTTTTGATGAAGCAAGCTGCCAAATTGGAGAGGATTATGTTTAAGGAAGTGAAGGCAGCTTCTTCCCAACAGCCGGGAACTGAGTCCTTCAATCCAACAACCTATGAGACAATAAATTCTGCCAACAGCCATGTGAGTTTGGACTGCATCATTCCCTAGTTGAACCTTAAGATAACATTAACCCAAGTGAAACTAGACCCCTATCTCTCTGTATATAAAAATAAAATCAAAATGTATTAAAAACTCAAATATAAGACCTGAAACTATGAAATTACTATAAGAAAACATTGGGGAAACTCTCCTGGGATGTTGGTCTGGGCAAAGATTTTTTGACTAATACCTCAAAAACACAAGCAACCAAAGCAAAAATGGATAAATGGGATCACAGAAAGTTAAAAAGCTTCTGCACAGCAAAGGAAACAACCACCAAAGTGAAAAGATAACCCACAGAATGGGAGAAAATATTTGCAAACTACCCATCTGACAAGGGATTAATAACCAGAATATATAAGGAGCTCAAACAACTCAGGAAAATAATCTGATAATATGATTTTTTAAATGAGCAAATGATCTGAATAGACATTTCTCAAAAGAAGACATACAAATGTCCAACAGATATATGAAAAATGCTCAGCATCACTAATCATCAGAGAAATGCAAATCAAAGCCACAATGAGATATCATCTCACCCCAGTTAAAATGGCATTTACCCAAAAGACAAGCAATAACAAATGCTGGCAAGGATGTGGACAAAAGGGAACCATTGTACACTGTTGGTGGGAATGTAAATTAGTTCAACCATTATGAAGAACAGTATGGAGGTTCCTCAAAAAACTAAAAACTACCATATGATCCAGCTATCCCACTACTAGGTATATACCCAAAAGAAAGGAAATCAGTATATCGAAGAGATATCTGCATTCCCATGTTTATTGCAGCACTGTTTACAATAGCCAAGATTTGGAAGCAAGTGTCCATCAACAGATGAGTTGATAAAGAAAATGCGGTACGTATACCCAATTGACTATATAAAAAAAGAATGAAATCCTGCCATTTACAACAACATGGGTGGAACTAGAGGACATTATGTTAAGTGAAATAAGCCAGGTACAGAAAGACAAATTTCACATGCTCTCATTCATATGTGGGATCTATTAATAACTATGGGTGCAAAACCATAGTTAGATAGAATGAATAATAACTAGTATTTGGTAGCACAACCAGGTGACTACAGTCAACAATCATTTATTATATATTTTAAATAACTAAAAGAGTAGAATTGAAATGTTCACAACACAAAGAAATAAGAACTGCTTGAGATGATGAATACTTCAATTACTCTGACGTGATTATTACACATTGTATGCCTGTATCAAAACTTCATATGTACTCTATAAATATATACATCTACAATATACCCATAAAAATTAAAAATTATAAAAGATGATTACAACCCAGCCAAAGCCTTAATTACAGGATGTGAGAGATTCCAGTTATGTTCTGAAGTAGAGGTTCCAGTTAAGCTGCACCTAGATTCCTGACCCACAGAAATTGAGATAATAAATTTGTATTAAGTCATTAAATATTGGGTAAATTATTTATTACATGGCAATAGATAACTTATAAAGCAAGTAAGGCCAATACTCTGGACATACATCTTACAGTTTGTAAACTGGGCTCAAAAATGCCTTTCTTGTAGGATGGTTGTGAAGATTCATGAAATAGTGTTCATGAAAGTGCCTCAAATATATCAGACGCTCCACATATGCTCATTTAGTCCCTCTGCCCTCATCCCCTAAAGTTTAGTTGAGATTCAATGCATTGAGGTCATGACTGTTTTGATTAGGATAGAAGAGGCTGAAAGGAAAGAATTCTGCATCAAGCACAGTAGGAAATAGGAACTGTTACCTATTATTCCACAAAATAGAGAACTTAGATATCCCAATTATCCTGATTTGAACTTTACACATTATATGAATGTATCAAATTCTCCCATGTACCCTGAAAACATGTATATCAATTATGTATCAATTTTTTAAATGGAAAGATAAAATAAAAAATAGAAAGAACTTAGGATAGCAGAAGGATTCACAAGTCAAGGGAGAACCCAGGAAGGTTCAGGAAAAGAGGTTTGACAGGAAGCCAGCAAGAAGCTATACCAACAGCAAAAATTTATCTAGGAATGACCTCAAACCAGAAATAAGGGAGATTGCTCTTCTTTTTCCATTTTTATCCTGTTCCACAGACTTCCTAGTTGCTAGAATTATGCCATACTCTACATACAGTATGGGTTCAAGACATTTCTGTGCTTGGTTTGTCACATAACCATAGATGACAAGATTGTAGTCCTGTTACAAGTGCTCTGAGTCCCAAATAGCCAGTTTACCTTTTATTTTTTAAGTTTTTAAATAAAAGCTTTAGCTTTATAGCTATTTCCAAATTTAGGGGCTGGATCACTCAATGAGGAAAGACCATTGGAAAATATTGAAATTGAAACACAAATTAGAAATATTAAACAGTCAAGTAACTGGAGAGTGAAATTGCATTTGGGGAAAGGGAAAAGGGAAAGGATAGATGTACAAAGAAAAGGGTTTGGAAAAAAGGACAGAGGTGAACAGGAAGGGGGAGAAGAGATAAATTCAGCACAGTAAGCAGTTCTTAAAAAGAAAACCAGAGACGGCTTTTCCCATTGTGAAACAAGTGTGTTGGAACTTACTCTTTCAGGAATAACAGGAAGATGGATAAAATAGAAACGGAGGATATAGATGCCTAAGCTTCATGCACTACCATGTGCAGGCTGGGAGCAAGGATGCAATCAGGCAGCTATAAAAGTGGGAGGGGATGGGCCTTCCCTACACCATCCTCAAACCACTGCTGTCCCATCCAGTGCAACAGAAAATCAAGCACTTGCTTATAGGCAGGCACTAGGTTATTACAAAGTGTAATAACTTTTCAGCAGACCCCAGTTCCCCCAGGAGATCTGTTGTGAAGGCTGAGGTCAGTACCAAGGATAAACCTATTTCTTTTGAGTATTAGAAGGCTCTCATCTTTATGCTTCAGTTATTCCTTGTAACTCACTTTCTCATGCTTTCATCCTTATCTTGTAAAATGGAAATAAATAAATTTGGACCTAGTCTACCATTTCTCTTATTTACCCTTACTGGAGTCTTCTCTGACAGTTTTGATAAATTCAAAATGATGCAGAAGTAAGATATTCCTTATAGCCTAGACGCTAGTTACATTTATAATGTCAAGATTCCAATTATACATAGGAAATATCGCTTTCCTTAAAATACAAAATCTTCATTTAAGCAGGCTTGTTAAAATATTTATTCTGAAAAGGAGATGAATCAAGAATTTGTTTGCCTGTACATAGGCAGAAGAGTTAGCATTAAGAAGAAAGCGGCCTCTACAAAAGACATTGTAATATTCATTAATGACATTCATGTGCTGCCCTTCCCCAGCAGTTTTTTCCATTGAGTCTTCAATTTCTGTATTAAATAACTTCCTTTGTAGCAGTGAACAAGGCTGAGGGCCTGACATAGCATAACTATAGAGCAGGGGTTGGAAAACTACAGACCAAGGGCCAAACCTGGCCCAATGCCTGAGTTTATAAATAAAGTTTTATTGACACACAGCCATACCCATTTGTGAAGGTATTGCCTATGGCTTTTAGCTCTACAATAGCAGAGGCATGTAGTTGCAACATGCGTGCCCCACAACAATAAAAAATATTTACTCTCTGGCTCTTTAAGAAAAAATTTGCCAACCCCTGGCAATGTACCAGGTCTGGAGACAGTGACCAGTGATAAAAGGAGACAAAAAAGGTTCAAATCATTCTTCATGACAGTTGGACATGAATGTCATGGGCTTCATCCTTTGGGGAATGGGAGATTATCATAACTGTTTAGTTACCTGATGACATAAATGGCCAATGTCAGGCATGATGTTTTTCAGAATTATAAAATCCTAAACTTCGAAGGCATCTTGAAAGTCACCTAGATCAGTGAGAAATAGAGAAAAAAAAATAGTCTCTCAAGACCTTTGCATTATAATTATAACCAGTGAAGGGATTAAATTCAAACCAGCAAACACTTATCCTTTAGTAAGAGTAATCAAGTTAGTGAATTATCCTTCTCTGTTAGAACATTAAGACCGTGGTTCTTTTTTGTCTACTGGTAAAGTAGATAGAAACATAAAGCAATTTTGGACTAGTAGCCGTTGAAATGAAAACAGCTTCCACTGAAATGTCTTTGCTCTTTTTCCTTGTAATCATAGCCTCTCAGCCAAGATATAATGGGATCTTGCACTTCTTTCTGCTCTCGTCTCTCTTCATCTTCTTTTTCTTTCCTTTCTTCCCTTCACTAATATCTGTTGCATCTTTTTTTGTAAGATGTATTATAATAGGAATTTTTAAAGATACTAAACAAAGACTCAAAGTTTAAGGAACTTAAAGACTAGGTGGAGAGATGAGATGTGTATAAAGCAAATATATGCAATCACATCATATATAATATACTAAATGCAACATCAGGGCTGTGTGTCCTTGGGCAAGCTACTTAAGCTCTCTGTGGCTTTATTTTCCTCATCTATAAACTGGGTATAATATTGCCTGCCTCTTAGGTTCATTATGAAGGTTAAGATATACAAAACACCTATGCTAGGACATAGCGGGTAGTAAGTGCTTTATTTTTGTTTGCCATGTGTTATTACAATTCTGGAATGCTATATAAGTTCAGAATAAGGATTCAGCTCTTCTGGTGAGATGTGCAGTCATGTTTCATGGAAGAGATTGCATTTGAACTAGGCTTTGAGACATGGATGTCATTTAGCAGTGAACAATAAGAAAATTATGTTTAAGAGGAGGAAACTGGATCAACCAAGTCACAGAAGAAAAACAGGATGATTCTGAAGCATCAACCTGACACAAAATAAGGCAGAAGTCCTGCCACTCTAGGGAGGTATTGCAAAAAGCTTAGAATTCTAGACTGAAGGGACTTGACTTTATACAGTAGGCAGTGGAGTGCTCATGGAGTCATTTTAGCAAAAAGGGAGATATGATCAGAGATGTTTGTTGGGAATAATATTTGGGCTGCTTGTGGGCAAGATAGATTTAAGAGACTGGAGAAAATGTGATTCATTGAGGATGTCATTTCCCTTCCAGGTCCATCTCTACCTTTCCCTTCCCAAAGCAAAGCATTTACTGGGCCAAATTTTCTGAATTTGTTGTACCTTAAGAACCATCAACTCTCTCTTTCTGGATCCATATGACTGCATGAGTAAATCTTATGAAATCATAAGTCTCAGGATCCCCACCTAAGGGCCCAACATTCTCAATCTCATCTTTCTCTCTTTCCTTTACCTTCTCCCTCTCTCCTCCTTCAGCTCCTCTTTCAGTTCTTTCTCCTCTTTTTTACTCTCACACTTTCTCCCTTCCTCTTTCTTCTCTCTGACTCATCTTCATGTATTACTCTCTATATTTGAATGGAAAGGTTTCAAGGGCACTACCCAGCCTGTAATATTCACCTCACCTTTACCAGCACCTGACTTTGCAGATTGTTATAAACAAGTACTCTGACTTCCCTTTGACATTGCTTGGTCAATTGGGGTGAGACATAGTTACTGTAGGAGGGGAAGCAAGTTCAAGTACAAACCAGAGCAGTTACAGGTTTCAGGCTTCAAGAGAAGATGCATAGAAGCTGAGATGCACTAAAGGGAAACCAGAAGAGACAACTATAAATTGATTACAGCCCTGGCATAGATGTTGGACCAATGGGAAGATATCTCCTGGGCAGAATTACCCTACTCTGAAGGCATTTGCCTGAATAGTAGACGTTTCAGCCAATTCAGAACTTGTTGACGTCATATCTCTCACTAGGTGGACCTTTTCCAAACAAGATATGGAGGAGTATGTTAGAAAAGTAAATATTTGGGACTTAAGGCAAAAAGGAAACAAAGAGAAACGGGTTATTATGACTAAGTAAATGTATGTTGACTCACACATAGCAAAGGAGGAATAGGACCAACTTCAGCAAGAGGTTGAAGAATTAAAAACAGTCATTGTCTGCTTAGAAGGTATATAAAAACAATTGAAATAAATAGAACAAAAAAGGAATAAATCACAGGGGGAAAACTAGAAACAAGAAGTATGTCTACTTGCATTGAAATGGCTTGTTACAAAAAATTGTTTATTTTTAGTCATGCTTCTGTGTGATTCTTATGCAGACTAAAGTTGAGAACCACTGGTTTAGAGGAAGGCAGAATAGAAGAAGAATGGCTGACTAGTGACATCAGATGCCAGTTATCCACAGAAAGAAGATCAAAGTTACAGGTGAATGGGGTGAATGGTCATGATCAAAATGGAAAGCTGAGGAAAGAGAGCCAGGACCTGTGAGAGAGCCCATCGGAAGAAGCTGGGGTACACAAAAGGAAAACAGCAAGAGTCTAGCAGAGGTCAACCCCTGAGGAGCTTGTAGCCATGCAGAAAGGATAGGTGAGGATGCTTCTCTGTCCCCCTCACCCCTGCAACAATCTGATAACCACCAAATTGTTGGGGAGCCCCTCTGCCCTTGTAACCCTGGGCAATGCTGTTGGTGGTGATTTGGGAAATTCTCTGGGACAGAGAACTGAATAGTCAGCTTGCAAAAGGGTGCTTACACTCCCCTTACACCCAAACTGAAACAGCAGGCCCCATACTGGTTGTGCACCCACTGTGGGCCACAGACCTGCCCAGGGAACCTCAGCCCTTGAGTTTCCACAACACTAGATCCCCCACAAACACACTCCACAATTCTTTCCAACTTTAGCAACCACAAGGGACCAGCAGGTCCCTGGGGAACTACAGGATCCCTGGAGACCTAGCTCTCGGCATGGACTTCCCCTAGGGGAAGGAAAGCATAACCAACTAAAACCCCACTTGGGACAAAGGAAATATGGGTACAGTGATGATCACTGAAGGGGTGGCACCAGCAGCTAGAAATGGACATGGAGAGGGGAGTCATCTCCCATTCCCCTGTCCACTGTTGTGGACACAGCACAGACTCTCCCAGCTGGTGTCCAGTACGTACGCACTTGGAGAAAGCCTTTCCAGCACTTTTCACGCCTGCTGCACACCTATTAAATGTAAGCCTGTGCCATATGGCCTTCCATAAAGAGCAGGGCCCATCTCTCCCCCTCTACACAGAGTGACAGTATCCCAGGAATGGAGAGTAGACAAGCCACAGAGTTGTCTGTTCTGAACTAGGGGAAGAGGCTCTACCTGAGCCCCTTTTGGTGGTAGCTGCCAAAGGGGAGTGCCCACAGTCTGCATCCACATTGCAGCCAGAAGTCTGAAAATCATGAGCTTTGCAACAGGGGCATGATAAGGAAGTGGATTACATTCCTGCCTGCACAGTATGAGGAGCTCGTGCAGCTTCCCCCATCATCCCTTTCCCTGAGACCTCAGCACACACCAACACGATCTCCTTCAGCCACCCCTGATGAGAGTGGGTGCCTCTACTCATTGGGGTGCCCCAGGGTGAACCAGCTCTTACTTTTAAGCACCACCTATTGAACTGGAGACTGAACTGCACCACCAAATAAAACATCTGCTCTCAGAAGGGCACAGTGCTAGTGTACAAGATAAACTTCCTGAAACCTCCACACTCTCAGTCCCACAGGAGATAGTATGTCAGCTCACTCATACATACAAAATATCACTACAACAAGCAGCGTTTGAGAAAGCTACTGCACAAAAGTTCTCCACAACCAAGGAACCTATACAGAGCCTAGACCTCCTGAAAGCACCCAGTAACAAAGGCAAATGATCACACTCAATATACCCAAGTCATACCCTCAAGTAAAAAAAGAATAAAAAAATGTAAAAGTCCCTTCAAATGATAGCAAATTCAAAACTAAGACGTGACAGCTCCTTCATATAAGAAGGAATCAACCCAAGAACTCTGGCAATATAAAAAGAGTATTTTGACACTTACAAAATATTGCACTAGCTCTCTAGCAATGGATCCTAACCAAACTGAAAATTCTGAAATGACAGATAAAGAACTCAAAATATGAATTGCAAGGAAGCTCAATGAGATCCAAGAGAAAGTTGAAAACCAACACAAAGAAAATAGAAAAATGATTAAGGATGGGAATGTCTTCTACGCCAAGATGGCCGAATAGGAACAGCTCCAGTCTACAGCTCCCAGCGTGAACGACGCAGAAGATGGGTGATTTCTGCATTTCCAACTGAGGTACTGGGTTCATCTCACTGGGGCTTGCCAGAGAAGTGGGTGCAGCCCGCAGAGCAGGGAGAGGCATTGCCTCACCCAGGAAGTGCAAGGGGTCGAGGAATTCCCTTTCCTAGCAAAGGGAAGACGTGACAGATGGCACCTGGAAAATTGGGACACTCGACCCTAATATTGCACTTTTCCAATGGCCTTAGCAAACGGCACACCAGGAAATTATATCCCGTGCCTGGCTCGGAGGGTCCCATGCCCACAGAGCCTCCCTCACTGCTAGCACAGCAATCTGAGATCGAACTGCAAGGTGGCAGCCAGGCTGGGGGAGGGGCGTCTGCCATTACTGAGGCTTGAGTAGGTAAACAAAGCCACCAGGAAGCTCGAACTGGGTGGAGCCCACCACAGCTCAAGCAGGCCTGCCTGCCTCTGTAGACTCCACCTCAAGGGGCAAGTCATAGCTGAACAAAAGGCAGCAGAAACTCCTGCAGACTTAAATGTCCCTGTCTGACAGCTTTGAAGAGAGTAGTGGCTCTCCCAGCACGGAGTTTGAGACAGACTGCCTCCCCAAGTGGGTCCCTGACCCTCGAGTAGCCTAACTGGGAGGCACCTCCCCATAGGGGGGTGACTGACACCTCATAAGGCCGGGTGCCCCTCTGAGACAAAGCTTCCAGAGGAAGGATTAGGCAGCAATATTTGCTGTTCTGCAGCCTAAACTGCTGATACCCAGGCAAACAGGGTCTGGAGTGGACCTCCAGCAAACTCCAACAGACCTGCAGCTGAGGGTCCTGACTGTTAGAAGGAAAACTAACAAACAGAAAGGACATCCACACCAAAACCCCGTCTATATGTCACCAGCATCAAAGACCAAGGGTAGATAAAACCACAAAGATGGGGAGAAACCAGAGAAGAAAAGCTGAAAATTCTAAAAATCAGAGTGCCTCTTCTCCTCCAAAGAAACGCAGCTCCTCGCCAGCAACAGAACAAAGCTGGACGGAGAACGACTTTGACGAGTTGAGAGAAGAAGGCCGAGCTGCATTCCTTTGGAGAAGAGGCGCTCTGATTTTTAGAATTTTCAGCTTTTCTGCTCTGGTTTCTCCCCATCTTTGTGGTTTTATCTACCTTTGGTCTTTGATGCTGGTGACATACAGATGGGGTTTTGGTGTGGATGTCCTTTCTGTCTGTTGGTTTTCCTTCTAACAGTCAGGACCCTCAGCTGCAGGTCTGTTGGAGTTTGCTGGAGGTCCATTCCAGACCCTATTTGCCTGGGTATCACCAGTGGAGGCTGCAGAACAGCAAATATTGCTGCCTAATCCTTCCTCTGGAGGCTTTGTCTGAGAGGGGCACCCGGCCTTATGAGGTGTCAGAAGGCTTCAGACAATGGAGCTGAAAACCATGGCACGAGAACTACGTGATGAATGCACAAGCTTCAGTGGCCGATTCGATCAACTGGAAGAAAGGGTATCAGTGATTGAAGATCAAATGAATGAAATGAAGCAAGAAGAGAAGTTTAGAGAAAAAAAAGTAAAAAGAAATGAACAAAGCCTCCAAGAAATATGGGACTATGTGAAAAGACCAAATCTACATCTGATTGGTGTACCTGAAAGTGACGGGGAGAATGGAACCAACTTGGAAAACACTCTGCAGGATATCATCCGGAGGATTTCCCCAATCTAGCAAGGCAGGCCAACATTCAAATTCAGGAAATACAGAGAATGCCACAGAGATACTCCTCGAGAAGAGCAACTCCAAGACACATAATTGTCAGATTCACCAAAGTTGAAATGAAGGAAAAAATGTTAAGGGCAGCCAGAGAGAAAGGCCGGGTTACCCACAAAGGGAAGCCCATCAGACTAACAGCTGATCTGTCGGCAGAAACTCTACAAGCCAGAAGAGAGTGAGGGCCAATATTCAACATTCTTAAAGAAAAGAATTTTCAACCCAGAATTTCATATCCAGCCAAACTAAGCTTCATAAGTGATGGAGAAATAAAATACTTTACAGACAAACAAATGCTGAGAGATTTTTTCACCACCAGGCCTGCCTTACAAGAGCTCCTGAAGGAAGCACTAAAAATGCAAAGGAACAACCAGCACCAGCCACTGCAAAAACATGCCAAATTGTAAAGACCATCAATACTACGAAGAAACTGCATCAACTAATGAGCAAAATAACCAGCTAACATCATAATGACAGGAACAAATTCACACATAACAATATTAACCTTAAATGTAAATGGGCTAAATGCTCCAATTAAAAGACACAGATTGGCAGATTGGATAAAGAGTCAAGAACCATCAGTGTGCTGTATTCAGGAGACCCATCTCATGTGCAGAGACACACATAGGCTCAAAATAAAGGGATGGAGGAAGATCTACCAAGCAAATGGAAAACAAAAAAAAAGCAGGGGTTGCAATCCTAGTCTCTGATAAAACTGACTTTAAATCAACAAAGATCAAAAGAGACAAGGCTATTACATAATGGTAAAGGGATCAATTCAACAAGAAGAGCTAACTATCCTAAATTTATATGCACCCAATACAGGAGCACCCAGATTCATAAAGCAAGTCCTGAGACACCTAAAAAGAGACTTAGACTCCCACACAATAATAATGGGACACTTTAACACTCCACTGTCAACATTAGACAGATCAATGAGACAGAAAGTTAACAAGCATATCCAGGAATTGAACTCAGCTCTGCACCAAGTGGACCTGATAGACATCTACAGAACTCTCCACCCCAAAACAACAGAATATACATTCTTCTCAGCACCACATCACACTTGTTCCAAAATTGACCACATATTTGGAAGTGAAGCACTCCTCAGCAAATGTAAAAGAACAGAAATTATAACAAACTGTCTCTCAGACCACAGGGCAATCAAACTAGAACTCAGGATTAAGAAACTCACTCAAAACCACTCAACAACATGGAAACTGAACAACCTGCTCCTGAATGACTACTGGGTACATAACAAAATGAAGGCAGAAATAAAGATGTTCTTTGAAACCAATGAGAACAAAAACACAACATATCAGAATCTCTGGGACACATTTAAAGCAGTGTGTAGAGGGAAACATAGCACTAAATGCCCACAAGAGAAAAAGCAGGAAAGATCTAAAATTGACACCCTAACATCACAATTAAAAGAACTAGAGAAGCAAGGCAAACACATTCAAAAGCTGGCAGAATGCAAGAAATAAGTAAGATCAGAGCAGAACTGAAGGAGATAGAGTCACAAAAAACCCTTCAAAAAATCAATGAATCCAGGAGCTGGTTTTTTGAAAAGATCAACAAAATTGATGGACTGCTAGCAAGACTAATAAAGAAGAAAAGAGAGAAGAATCAAATAGACACAATAAAAAATGATAAAGGGGATATCACCACCGATCCCACAGAAATACAAACTACCATCAGAGAATACTATAAACACCTCTACACAAATAAACTAGAAAATCTAGAAGAAATGGATAAATTCCTGGACACATACGCTTTCCCAAGACTCAACCAGGAAGAAGTTGAATCCCTGAATAGACCAATAACAGCCTCTGACACTGAGGCAATAATTAATAGTTTACCAACCAAAAAAAGTCTAGGACCAGATGGATTCACAGTCGAATTCTACCAGAGTTACAAAGAGGAGCTGGTTCCATTCCTTCTGAAACTATTCCAATCAATAGAAAAAGAGGGAATCCTCCCTAAGTCATTTTATGAGGCCAGCATCATCCTGATACCAAAGCCTGGCAGAGACACAACAAAAAAAGAGAATTTTAGACTAATATCCCTGATGAACATTGATGCAAAAATCCTCAATAAATTACTGGCAAACCAAATCCAGCAGCACATCAAAAAGCTTATCCACCACGAACAAGTTGGCTTCATCCCTGGGATGCAAGGCTGGTTCAATATACACAAATCAATAAACATAATCCATCATATAAACAGAACCCAATGACAAAAACCACATGATTATCTCAATAGATGCAGAAAAGGCCTTTGACAAAATTCAACAGCCCTTCATGCTAAAAACTCTCGATAAACTAGGTATTGATGGGACGTATCTCAAAATAATAAGAGCTATTTATGACAAACCCACAGCCAATATCATACTGAATGGGCAAAGACTGGAAGCATTCCCTTTGAAAACTGGCACAAGACAGGGATGCCCTCTCTCACCACTTCTATTCAACATAGTGTTGGAAGTTCTGGCCAGGGCAATCAGGCAAGAGAAAGAAATAAGGGGTATTCAATTAGGAAAAGAGGAAGTCAAATTGCCCCTGTTTGCAGATGACACGATTGTATATTTAGAAAACCCCATTGTCTCAGCCCAAAATCTCCTTAAGCTGATAAGCAACTTCAGCAAAGTCTCAGATACAAAATCAATGTGCAAAAATCACATGCATTCCTATACACCAATAATAGACAAACAGAGAGCCAAATCATGAGTGAACTCCCATTCACAATTGCTTCAAAGAGAATAAAATACCTAAGAGTCCAACTTACAAGGGATGTGAAAGACGTCTTCAAGGAGAACTACAAACCACTGCTCAGCGAAATAATAGAGGACACAAACAAATGGAAGAACATTCCATGTTCACGGATAGGAAGAATCAATATTGTGAAAATGGCCATACTGCCCAAGGTAATTTATAGATTCAATGCCATCCCCATCAAGCTACCAATGCATTTCTTCACAGAATTGGAAACAACTACTTTAAATTTCCTATGGAACCAAAAGAGAGCCCACATTGCCAAGACAATCCTAAGCCAAAAGAACAAAGCTGGAGTCATCACGCTACCTGACTTCAAACTATACTACAAGGCTACAATAACCAAAACAGCATGATACTGGTACCAAAACAGAGATAGAGACCAATGGAACAGAACAGAGCCCTCAGAAATAATACCACACATCTACAACCATCTGATCTTTGACAAACCTGACAAAAACAAGCAATGGGGAAAGGATTCCCTATTTAATAAATGGTGCTGGGAAAACTGGCTAGCCATATGTAGAAAGCTGAAACTGGATACCTTCCTTACACCTTATACAAAAATCAATTCAAGATGGATTAAAGACTTAAATGTTAGACCTAAAACCATAAAAACCCTAGAAGAAAACCTAGGCAATACCATTCAGGGCACAGGCATGGGCAAGGACTTCATGACTAAAACACCAAAAGCAATGGCAACAAAGCCAAAATTGACAAATGGGATCTAATTAAACTAAAGAGCTTCTGCCCAGCAAAAGAAACTACCATCAGAGTGAACAGGCAACCTATAAAATGGGAGAAAATTTTTACAATCTACCCATCTGACAAAGGGCTAATATCCAGAATCTACAGAGAACTTAAACAAATTTACAAGAAAAAATCAAACAACCCCATTAAAAAGTGGGTGAAGGACATGAACAGACAGTTCTCAAAAGAAGACATTTATGCAGCCACCAAACACATGAAAAAATGCTCATCATAACTGGCCATCAGAGAAATGCAAATCAAAACCACAATGAGATACCATCTCATACCAGTTAGAAAGGTGATCATTAAAAAGTCAGGAAACAACAGGTGCTGGAGAGGATGTGGAGAAATAGGAACACTTTTACATGGTTGGCAGGACTGTGAAGTAGTTCAACCATTGTGGAAAACAGTGTGGCGATTCCTCAAGGATCTAGAACTAGAAATACCATTTGCCCCAGCCATCCCATTACTGGGCATATACCCAAAGGATCGTATATCATGCTGCTATAAAGACACATGCACACGTATGTTTATTGCAGCACTATTCACAATAGCAAAGACTTGGAACCAACCCAAATGTCCAACAATGATAGACTGGATTAAGAAAATGTGGCACATATATACCATGAATACTATGCAGCCATAAAAAAGGATGAGTTCATGTCCTTTGTAGGGACACGGATGAAGCTGGAAACCATCATTCTGAGCCAACTATCACAAGGACAGAAAACCAAACACCGCATGTTCTCACTCATAGGTGAGAATTGAACAATGAGAACACATGGACACAGGGTGGGGAACATCACACACCGGGGTCTGCCGGGGGGTTGGGGGAGGGGGGAGGGATAGCATTAGGACATATACCTAATGTAAATGATGAGTTAATGGGTGCAGCACACCAACATGGCATACGTAACAAACCTGCACATTGTGCACATGTACCCTAGAACTTAAAGTAAAATAAAAAAAAGAAAGAAAAATGATTAAGGATAGGAAAGACAAAATAGCTATAATTTTAAAAAGTGAAATAGAACTTCTGGAATTGAAAAAATCACTGAAGGAATTTCAAAATATAGTTGAAACTTTTAACAATAGACTAGACCAAGCAGAACAAAGAATTTCAGAGCCTGAAGACCAGTCTTCTGAACTAACCCAGTCAGGCAAAAATAAAGAAAAAAGAATTTTAAACATACGTGTGCATGTGTCTTTATAGCAGCATGATTTATAGTCCTTTGATGCACACGTATGTTTATTGCGGCACTATTCACAATAGCAAAGACTTGGAACCAACCCAAATGTCCAACAATGATAGACTGGATTAAGAAAATGTGGCACATATACCCCATGGAATACTATGCGGCCATAAAAAATGATGAGTTCATGTGCTTTGTAGGGACATGGATGAAATTGGAAATCATCATTCTCAGTAAACTATCGCAAGGACAAAAAACCAAACACCGCATGTTCTCACTCATAGATGGGAATTGAACAATGAGAACACCTGGACACAGGAAGGGGAACATCACACTCTGGGGACTGTTGTGGGGTGGGGGGAGGGGGGAGGGATAGCATTAGGAGATATACCTAATGCTAAATGACGAGCTAATGGGTGCAGCACACCAGCATGGCACATGTATACATATGTAACTAACCGGCACATTGTGCACATGTACCCTAAAACTTAAAGTATAATAATAATACAAAATAAATAAATAAATAAAAAGAATTTTAAAAAATGAACAAAGCCTTCAAGAAAGCCAGGATTATGTAAAGCAACCAAACATATGACTTATAGTCATTCTTGAGAGAAAAGTAGAAAAGGTAAGCAACTTGGAAAACACATTTGAGGGAATAATTCAGGAAAATTTCCCTAATCTTGCTAGGGAGGTAGACATCCAGATACAAGAATTTCCGAGAACATCTGCAACCTAGTATACAAGATGAACATCACTAAGGCATATAGTCAAACTATCCAAGGTCAACACTAAAGAAAACATCTTCTTTTAAAGCTTTACACAGTTGAAAATATTTCCTTCTTCTTATTTTTTTTTTTAAGTTCCAGGATACATGTGCAGAACGTGCAGGTTTGTTACACAGGTAAACGTGTGCCATGGTGGTTTGCTGCACCTATCAACCCCTTACCTAGGTATTAAACCCTGCATGCATTAGCTATTTGTCTTGATGCTCTCCCTCCCCCCACCCCACCGACAGGCCCCAGTGTGGGTTGTTCCCCTCCCTGTGTCCATGTGTTTTCATTGTTCAGCTACCACTTATAAGTGATAACATGTAGTTTTGGTTCAAGAAAACATCTTAAAGGTGGCCAGACAAAAGGGTTAAATTACCTATAAAAGTAATACAATCAGACTAATAGCAGATTTCTCAGTAGAAATCTTAAAAGCCAGAAGAGATTAGGGGCCTATTTTTAGCCTTCTTAAAGAAAAAAACGCCAGCCAAGCATTTTACATCCTGCTAAACTTAGCTTCATAAACAAAGAAGAAATAATGTCTTTCCCAGACAAGTAAACACTAAGAGATTTCATCATCACTAGACCAATAATACAAGAAATATTCAAAGGATTTCTAAATGTGGAAATGAAAGGATGATACTTGCTACTATAAAACTACACATAAGTACAAAGTTCACAGATACTATTAAAGCAATTACACAATTGAAAATACAAAAGCAACTAGCTAACAACACTATGACAAGAACAAAACCTCACATATCAATATTAACCTTTAATGTAAACGGACTAAATCCTCAAATAAAAACACATAGATTGGCAAATTTGATGAAAAAAAACCAAGACCCAACCATTTGCTGCATTCAAGAAACCCACCTAGTGTGTAATATCACCACAGGCTCAAAGTAAAGGAGTGTAGAAAGACATATCATGCAAATAGAAAACAAATATGAGCAGGGGTTGCTATTCTCATATCAGATAAAACAGACTTTAAACTAACAATAATATAAAATGAAAACAAAGTACATTATATAATGATAAAGGGTTCAATTCAACAAAAATATTTAACTATCCTAAATACTTAGGCACACAATACCAGAGTACCTACATTTATAAAACAAATACTATTACACCTAAGAAAAAGATAGACAGCCATACCATAAAAGTGGGGGAGTTCAACACCCCACTGACAGCATGAAATCATGCTGCTATAAAGACACATGCACATGTATGTTTATTGCGGCACTATTCACAATAGCAAAGACTTGGAACCAACCCAAATGTCCAACAACGATAGACTGGATTAAGAAAATGTGGCACATATACACCATGGAATACTATGCAGCCATAAAAAATGAAGAGTTCGTGTCCTTTGTAGGGACATGGATGAAACTGGAAACCATCATTCTCAGCAAACTATCGCAAGGACAAAAAATCAAACACTGCATGTTCTCACTCATAGGTGGGAATTGAACAATGAGAACACATGGACACAGGAAGGGAAACATCACGCTCTGGGGACTGTTGTGGGGTGGGGGGAGGGGGGAGGGATAGCATTAGGAGATATACCTAATGCTAAATGACGAGTTGATGGGTGCAGCACACCAACATGGCACATGTATACATATGTAACAAACCTGCACATTGTGCACATGTATCCTGAACCTTAAAGTATAATAATAATAAAATAAAATAAAGAAAACCAAACACCACATGTTCTCACTCATAGGTGGGAATTGAACAATGAGAACACCTGGACACAGGATGGGGAACATCACACACTGGAGTCTGTTGTCCGGGTTAGGGGAGCGGGGAGGGATAGCATTAGGAGATATACCTAAGGCTAAATGACCAGTTAATGGGTGCAGCACACCAACATGGCACATGTATACATATGTAACAAACCTGCATGTTGTGCACATGTATCCTAGAACTTAAAGTATAATAAAAAAATGAAATAAAATAACAGATGCTGGCGAGGATGCGGAGAAAAGGGAACATTTATACACGGTTGGTGGGAATGTAAATTAATTCAACCCCTATTGAAAACAGTTTGGAGATTTCTCAAAAAACTAAAAATAGAACTACTGTTGGACCTAGCAACCCCACTATTGGATGTCTACTCAAAGGAAAATAAATTATTTTATGAGAAAGACACTAGCACTCGAACATTTATTGCAGCACTATTGACAATAGCAAAGTTGTGGAATCAACCTAAGTGTCCATCAACAGTCGACTGGATAAAGAAATTGTGGTATATATACACCATGGAATACTATGCAGCAATAACAAATAATGAAATTATGATCTTCACAGCAACATGAATGGAGCTGGAGGTCATTATCCTGAATGAAATAACTCAAAATCAGAAAATCAAATACTGTGTATTCTCACTTATAAGTGGGAGCTAAACAATGGGTACACATGAACATAAAGATGGAAATCATAGACACTGGGGGCTCCAAAGTGGGGGAGTGGGAAGAGGACAAGAGTCAAAAAACTATTGGGTATATATTCACTATTTGGATGATGGGTTCACTAGATGCCCAAACCTCAGCATTATGCAAAATATTCATGTGACAAACCTGCACATGTACCTCCTGAATATAAAATAAAACAAAGGAACAAGCAAAGAAGATAGAGGCTGGAAAGATAGGAATGCTTATTCTTTTGCTGTGGGGGCCGGAAAGAGGCCAGCGGTCAGTGCCCACTGGATTCAACCACACAGAAGCTTTTGGTGACCTTGGCCAAAGATCAGTGTCAGTGGGATAGGGGGATGGGGCTTGCACAGACACCACTATGGAGGGAAGAGGAAGATAATGCTGTGTTATGTAGCTTTTCAAAGTCTGATTTTTCTCAACTGAAAATAAGGATAATAGTGAATCTCACTCCTCTATGTTGATAATTAATGAGATAGCAAATGTAAATGTGATAAGCAGACCTTTAATACAATACTTAATATATTATCCCTTCAATTATTCCTTCCCTGTCATTACCTCTAGACTTTCTTCCTGGAACTCTATTAGGCATATGTTAGAACTATTCCTGTATCCTTCATGTGTCCTAATCTCTCTTTTAAAATTTTTACCTCATTATCACTCTATGGTAATTAGAAATAATTTTTTCAGATCTATCTTCTAGTTCAACTAATTCCCCCTTCCACTGAGCCAAATCTATTGTTTCAAACTTTCAATGACTTTTAAAATTTTAATGATTTTATATTTCATTTCTTGACATTCTATCTGGTTCTTTTTCAAAGGCATGAGGCTTTTAAAAATATATATATTGTTTATTCTTTTGAACTTAGTTTTAATTTATCCTTTTCTCTCAAAATTATTTTTAAACACACTTTTAAAACATAGATTATTCAGCTGGATTTGTTACGCTTCAAGAGTCACTAATCCTGTGTTTTGTGTTTCTTGACTCTTCCTCATCATGAATCATTTCTCTAAGAGGTTTGCAAATACTTAGAGTGAGCCCATCTTCAGTACGAATTCCCCACTCCAGTGTCACAGCCACCTTAAATTGTGGAAGTGTTTCAACAAAACAGTTTTAAGTTGTTTCTGTAAGTACTCAAAAGATCTTATCCATCCTTGATCAGTTTTTGTGTTAATTTCACAGCTTAGAGAAATCTTGCATGAAGTGTAAATTTAGACTCCACAGTGATATATAATGTTGGCCTCAGGCTCCTGTATTCATGCAAGAATGTTTTTTCATCTAGCCCCTAATAAAGACAAGAAAGGCAACCTTCCTTGTGCATATCTGGGATGGTAGGCAGAGTATTTCTAGTTCCTCGCTGTAATAGTCTGTTCTGACACTGCTATAAAGAAATACCTGAGACTAGGTAATTTATAAAGGAAATAGGTTTAATTGACTCACAGTTCTGCATGGCTGGGGAGGCCTCAGGAACTTTACAATCATGGCAGAAGGAGAAGCAGGCGCATATTACATGGCAGCAGGTGAGAGAGAGAGTGAAAGTGCAGGGGAAATTGCCATTTATAAAACCATCAGACCTTGTGAGAACTCACACACTACCATGAGAATAACATGGGGGAAACTGCCCCCATGATCCAGTCACCTCCCACCAGGTCCCTCTCTTGTCACCTGGGGATTACAATTCAAGATGAGATTTGGGTGGACACACAGAGCCAAAACATATCACTCTTTTACCAAGGAACAGCATTTCCATGTCCTGGATTTATACAGAGGTCTTGGTTCCAGTGTCCCCTCTCTGCACTCTGTGGGCCTAAAGCCAAATATAGTCAGCCCTCGATATCCATGGGTTTCACATGTTTAGATTCAACCAACCTTGAGTCAAAAATATTCAAAAAAAAAAAAAAAAAAAAGAACGGTTGCATTCACACTGAACATTTACAGACTTTGTTTTCTTGTCATTATTCCCTAAACAATAAAGGAGGATGAGCATAGGTTATATGCAAATACTACATAATGTTATATAAGAGACTTGAGCACCCTTAGAATTTGATGTCTGCAAGTGGTCCTGGAACCAATCTGTCATGGATACTAAGGGACAACTTTATTCTGTATTCTGTTATTGTGTGCGCATTAAAATCTCAGGCCCTGTTTTGGTTTTCTGTTGCTGTGTAACAAACTACTCAGGAACTTATTGTCTTAAAACAAAAACAACCACTTATCAGCTGTCATGCATCTGTAGGTTGACTGAACTCAGCTGGGCAATTCTTTTGTTCCATGCAAGTATGAGCTGGGCCGCAGTTATTTGAAAGATTTACTAGAAATAAAACATTCAAAATGGCTCCCTCATATAGCTGGCAGTTGATGCTGACTGTTGGCTGGGGCATTCAGCTGGGGCTTTTGTATAGGATGCATCAGTGCTCCTCCACATGACCACTCAATGCAGCTTGCTTGAGCTTCACACAGGATGGCAGCTACATTCCAAGAAGGAGCATTTCAGGAGAGAAAAGTAGTAGCTGCATATCCCTTGAGTCATGACCTTTAATACTATACAGCATCATTTCTGTCTCATTTTATTGGTCAAAGCAAATAACAGGCCAGCTTAGTTACAAATGAAAATTCTACTTCTTGATGGAAAGAATGGTAAGGAATTTATGTCCATCTTTAATCTACCTCAGTTTCTATGCCCCTAAGGCCTTTATCTGGTCGATTTCCTTCAACTCCCTCTGACCTTCCACTCATAAAACTCCACTATGAATTTACATTCCTTCTTTGTTTCTGGCAACTGAAAATTAATCCTATTTTTCCTTTTGAACTCAGCTGAGTACTTAATTTTTTATTTTCATTTCAGTTTAGTACTCATTTCTGTGTTTTTAGCTTGAGGGTAGTTCTGTCAGCTATCTTGCCAGAACCCCATATTTCTTTCGTGTAATCCAAAGTTCAGGAAACTAAGGTATGTATGTTCAACAATGCCATCTTTCAGTTATTAATTTTGATAAAGCAATGTGATTTTCCTGCTATGCCAATGAGGAATTTCTGCCACTGAGAAGAAATATATAACATTTATACATGTGTCCAGTGCCAACACAACCACACAATTTGCTTGATCTCTCCCTTTGATTCAGGAAACATTGCTCCTAAGTTGTTCATTGTTGAGCAATAGAAGGACTCTATGTAACAATGGCATGCCAATTTGTCCCTCATTATTAGAAATAATTATTAGAATTAGGTCAAAAAGCATCTCATTTGGGCCCAGTGGTCATCCAGAATCAGAAATCACTAGAGAAAACCAAGATGGTGAGTTTTGCTTCACAGCTATTGAAGGGTAAAGCAACAAAACAGAACAGAGAATTCATCCTGTTTTTGTTCCTGTCCTAACTTTTATGTTCTTTTAAACTGCTAAGACTTCTAAAAAGATGTATTTGGACACAGAATATTGTTTTGGCCCTGCTGACAGAAGGAATCCACCCTCCTTTTAATTCCAGGGTTGTACGCATGTCCATTTAGTGTGGCTCATTTCCTTTCTAAGTGAAATGAAATTTGCATTTATATAGCCCCTTACATACCACATAGGCTACTAAAAAGCCCTGCACAGCAGAAACTATTCATAAGCTAAGAATTGAAGTTTCTATAGCAGACATATTCATCTTCATAGTCTTAGACCACCTAGTGCTACCTGCTCTGAGAGCAGAATAGGTTAGGAATAGACAGGCAAGGAGGTAAAACAATTTGCACTTTTAAAAGTGAATTGCCACTCCAGCCAGGGGTTTACAGACAGAACTCTGATTTCCCTGGGATGGAGCCCCTGGGGGGAGGGGCGGCCATAGTCTCCATGGATCCATGGACTTAGTCTTTCCCCCTGCTGACTCTGAGAAATCTGGGCAGTCTGAATTAGTGGGATTCCCCCCAGTGCAGTGCACCCATTCCACCAAGGGGCAGACAGAGTGCTTCATTAAGCAGATCCCTGATCCCATGCCTCCTGACTTGGTGTGACTATCCCCCCCATCAGGGGTCACCAGATACCTTATACAGGAGCACTCCTATTGGCATCAGGTTGGTGCCCTTCTTGAACAGAGCTTCCAGAAAAAGGGGCAGGCAGCCATCTTAGCTGTTCTGTGTTCTGCAGCCTCCACTGGTGACACCTTCAGGTGCCAGAGGAACCCAGCTAAATAGGGTTTGGAGTGGATCCCCTAGCAAACCACAGCAGCCCTATGGAAGAGGGGCCTGACTGTTAAAAGAAAAACAAAGAGAAAGCAACAACAACATCATCAACAGAAGTGTTCTCAGAAAAACCCCATCCAAAGATCAGCAGCCTCAAAGATCAAAGCCAGATAAATGCATGAAGATGAGAAACAATCAATGAAAAAACACTGAAAACTCCAAAAGCCAGAGTGCTTCTTCTCCTCCAAATGATTGCAACACCTTCCCAGCAAGGGCACAGAACTGGGCTGAGGCTGAGATGAATGAATTGACAGAAGTAGGCTTCAGAAGGTTGGTAATAACGAACTTCGCTGAGCTAAAGGAGCATGTTCTAACCTAATGCAAAGAAGCTAATAACCATGATAAAACATTACAGGAGCTGTTAACTAGAATAAACAGTTTAGAGAGGAACATAAATAAACTGATGGAGCTGAAAAACACAACACGAGAACTTCACAACGTAACCACAAGTATCAATAGCTGAATAGACCAAATGGAGTAAAGAATTTCAGAGCCCAAAGACTATCTTGCTGAAATAAGACAGACAGACAAGATTAGAGAAAAAAGAATGAAAAGGAACCAACAAAACCTCCAAGAACTATGGGATTATGTAAAAAGACTGAACCTATCATTGATTGGGGTACCTGAAAGAGATGGGGAGAATAGAACCAAGTTGGAAAACATACTTCAGGATATTATCCAGGAGAACTTCCCCAACCTGGCAAGACAGGCCAACATTCAACTTCAGGAAAGCCAGAGAACCCCAGTAAGATACTCCATGAGATGATCAACCCCAAGACACATAATCATCAGATTTTCCAAGGTTAAAATGAAGGAAAAAATGTTAAGGGCAGCCAGAGAGAAAGGCCAGGTCACCTATTAGGTTGATGCTAAAGAAATTGAAGTTTTTGCCATTAAAAGTAAGGCAAGCCCATTAGACTAACCTCAGACCTCTCAGCAGAAACCCTACAAGCCAGGAAAGATTGGGGGCCAATATTCAACATTCTTAAGGAAAAGAATTTCCAACCCAGAATGTCGTATCTAGCCAAACTAACCTTCATAAGCGAAGGAGAAATAAGACCCTTCTCAGACAAGCCAATGTTGAAGGTGTTCATCACCACCAGGCCTGCCTTGCAAGGGCTCCTGAAGGAAGCACTAAATATGAAAAGCAAAAACCGTTACCAGTCACTACAAAAGGACAATGAAATACAAAGACCAGTGACACTATGAAGCAACTACATCTACAAGTCTACAAAATAACCAGCTAGCCTCATGTTGACAGGATCAAATTCACACATAACAGTATTAACCTTAAATGCAAATGGGCTAAATGCCCCAATTAAAAGACACAGAATGGCAAACTGGATAAAGGGTCAAGACCCATCAATGTGCTGTATTGAAGAGACCCATTGCATGTGTAAAGACACAAATAGTCTCAAAATGGAGAGATGGAGGAAAATGTACCAAGAAAATGGAAAGCAGAAAAAAATCAGGGTTGTGATCCTAGTTTCTGACAAAACAGACTTTAAACCAACAAAGATCAAAAAAGATAAAAAAGGGCATTACATAATGATAAAGGTTTCAGTTAAACAAGAAGAGCT
The DNA here is from genome assembly GCF_000001405.40 of Homo sapiens. Classification (NCBI taxonomy): domain Eukaryota; kingdom Metazoa; phylum Chordata; class Mammalia; order Primates; family Hominidae; genus Homo; species Homo sapiens. The sequence continues at coordinate 14,191,478 of NC_000023.11, read as the reverse complement.
AACTATCCTAAATATATATACGCACCCAATACAGGAGCACCCAGATTCATAAAACAAGTTGTTAGAGACCTACAAAGAGACTGAGACTCCCAAATAATAATAGTGGGAGATTAATACCCCACTATCAATATTAGAAAAATCATTGAGACAGAAAATTAACAAAGATATTCAGGACTTTAACTCAGCTCTGGATCAAGTGGATCCAATATACATCTAAAGAACTCTGCACGCCAAAACAACAGAATATACATTCTTCTCAGTGCCACATGCCACTTACTCTAAAATCGATCACATAATTGGAAGTAAAACACTCCTCAGCAAATGCAAAAGAACTGAAATTATAACAAACAGTCTCTCAGAAGACAGTGTAATCAACTTAGAACTCAAGATTAAGAAATTCACTCAAAACCACACAAGTACATGGAAATTGTACAACCCATTCCTGAATGACTTCTGGGTAAATAATGAAATTAAGGCAGAAATCAAGAAGTTATTTGCAACTAAAGAGAACAAAGATATAACACACCAGAATCTCTGGGACTCAGCTAAAGCAGTGTTAACCCATTTATGCCAGAGGTTGCCCATTTTTTGTGTGTGAAAATCCAGACCTTGATGATGGCCTTGAGCAGTAGGATATAAATAACGCCCACAAGCTTAACATTCCAATAATGGAACACTAGGCATAAATGGGTTAAGAGGGAAATTTACAACACTAAATGCGCACATCAAAAAGCTAGAAAGATCTCAAGTTAACAACCTAACATCACAACTAAAAGAACTAGAGAACTAAGAGCAAACAAACCCCAAAACTAGCAGAAAGACAAGAAATAACCAAGACCAGAGCTGAACTGAAGGAAATAGAAATGCAACAAAAACCCTTCAAAAAAACCAATGAGTCCAGGAGCTGGTTTTTAAAAAAATAATAATAATAAAATATATAGACCACTAGCTAGACTAATAAAGAAGAAAAGAGAGAAGAATCAAACAGATACAATAAAAAAGATAAAGGGGATGTCACCACTGACCCCACATAAAACAACCAACCATGAGAAAATAATATAAACACCTCTATGCAAATAAACTAGAAAATATAGAAGAAATGGATACATTCCTGGACACACACACCTTCCCAAGACTGAACCAGAAAGAAGTCAAATCCTTGAATAGATCAATAACAAGTTCTGAAATTGAGATAGTAATAAATACCCTACCAACCAAAAAAAGCCCAGGAACAGAAGGATTTACAGCTGATTTATACCAGAAATACAAAGAGGAGCTGATACCATTTCTTCTGAAACTATTCTAAACAATTGAAAAGGAGGGACTCCTCCCTAACTCATTTTATGAGGCCAGCATCATCCTGAAACCAAAACCTGGCAGAGATACTACAACAACAACAACAACAAAACCCACTTCAGGCCAATATCCATGATGAACATCGATGCAAAAATCCTCAACAAAATACTGGCAAACCAAATCCATTAGCACATGAAAAAGCTTATCCACCATGATCAAGTCAGCTTCATCCCTGGGTGCAAGGCTGGTTCAACATATGCGAATCAATAAACATGATTCATCACATAAACAGAACTAAAGACAAAAAGCACATGATTATCTCAATAGACATAGAAAAGGCATTCAATAAAATTCAACATCCCTTCATGTTAAAAACTCTCAATAAACCAGGCATTGATGGAACATACCTCAAAATAATAACAGTCATTTATGACAAACCCACAGCCAATATCATACTGAAGGCCAAAAGCTGGAAACATTCCCCTTGAAAATCAGCACCAGACAAGGATGCCCTCTCTCACCATTTCTAGTCAACAAAGTATTGGAAGTTCTGGCCAGAAAAATCAGACAAGGGAGAGAAATAAAGGGTATTCAAATAGGAAGAGAAGAAATAAACTATCTCTGCATATGACACGCTCCTATATCTAGAAAACCCCATCGCCTCAGCCCAAAAGCTTCTTAAGCTGATAAACAACTTCATCAAAGTCTCGGGATACAAAATCAATGTGCAAAAATTGCTAGCATTCCTATACACCAACAATAGACAAGCAGAGAGCCAAATCCTGAATTAACTTTCATTCACAATTGCTACCAAGATAATAAAATACCTTAGGAATACAGCTAACAAGAAAAGCGAAGGACCTCTTCAAGGAGAGCTACAAACCACTGCTCAAGGAAATCAGAGAGAACACAAACAAATGGATAAACATTCCATGCTCATGAATAGGAAGAATCAATATCGTGAAAATGGCCATACTGCCCCAAGTAATTTATAGATTCAATGCTATTCCCATTAAACTACTATTGACATTCTTCACAGAATTAGAAAAAAAACTAAAGTTCATATGGAACCAAAAAAGAGCCCAAGTAGCCAAAGTAATCCTAAGCAAAAAGGACAAAGCTGGAGGCATCATGCTACTTGACTTCAAACTATACTACAAGGCCACAGTAACCAAAACAGCATGGTACTGGTACCAAAACAGACATATAGACCAATGGAACAGAATAGAGAACCCAGAAATAAGACCACACATCTACACATTTGATCTTCAACAAACCTGACAAAAGCAATGGGGAAAGGATTCCCTATTTAATAAATAGTGCTGGGAGAACTGGCTAGCTATATGCAGAAAATTGAAGCTGCACCCCTTCCTTACACCTTATACAAAAATTAATTCAAGATGGATTAAAGACTTAAATGTAAAACCTAAAACTATAAAAACCCTAGAAGAAAATCTAGGCAATACCATTCAGGACATAGGCACAGGCAAAGATTTCATGATGAAAATGTCAAAAGCAATTGCAACAAAAGCAAAAGTTGACAAACGGGATCTAATTAAACTACAGAGCTTCTCCACAGCAAAAGAAGCTATCATCAGAGTGAACAGACAACCTACAGAATGGGAGAAATTTTTTGCAATCTATCCATCTGACAAAGGGCTAATATCCAGAATCTATAAGGAACTTAAATTTACAAGAAAAAAACAACTCCATTAAAAAGTGGGCAAAGGACATGAACAGACACTTCTCAAAAGAAGACATTTATGCAGTCAACAAACATATGAAAAAAGATCAACATCACTGATCATTAGAGAAATGCAAATCAAAACCACAATAAGATACCATCTCATATCAGTCAGAGTGGCCATTATTGAATAGTCAAGAAACAACAGATGCTGGCAAGGCTATGGAGAAATAGGAACACTTTTACACTGTTGGTGGGAGTGTAAATTAGTTCAATCACTCTGAAAGACAGTGTGGTGATTCCTCAAAGACCTAGAACCAAAAGTACCATTTGACCCAGCAATCCCATTACTGATTTACATTCAAAGGAATATAAATCATTCTATTATAAAGATACATGCGTGCATATATTCATGTATTCATTCAATAGCAAAGACATGGAATCAACCTAAATGCCCATCAGTGATAGACTGGATAAATAAATATTGTACATATACACCATGGAATACTACGCAGCCATAAAAAGGAATGAGATCACTTCCTTTGCAGGGACATGGATGGAGCTAGAAGCCATTATCCTCAGCAAACTAACACAGGAACAGAAAACCAAACACTGCATGTTCTAACTTATAAGTAGGAGCTGAACAGTGGGACCACACGGACACAGGGAGAGGAACAACACACACTGGGGCCTGTCAAGAGAACACGGGGAGGGAGAACATCAGGATAAATAGCTAATGCATGAGGGGCTTAACACCCAGGTGATGGATTGATAGGTGCAGCAAACCACCATGGCACACGTTTACCTATGTAGCAAACCTGCACATTCTGCACATGTATCCTGGAATTTAATAATAAGTGAATTGTCTAGGTGTATCTGTGCCTAGATTTGGCTGCAAAATGGCTTCAGCAGAGGTATAGATGTGCCTAAACATGTTTGTCCTTTTGCATCCATATTTCCCTGTCTTAACAATAATGTGACTGAAGGTAAAATTTCCTTTTTGTGTTATATTAGAAGAGAATCACAAAACAAGTGAAAACAGAAAATGTGCTAAAGGTAAAAAGAGATTATATCTAACCTCATACCATACACATTTTAATCTGAGACAGAATAAGGACTTACATATGAAAGAGAAATCAAATCTTTTGGAAGAAAATAGAGCAGAATATCTTCATAACTTTAGGGTAAGCAAAGACTTCTTAAGCAGGACATCAGAAGCATTAACTATAAAAGAAAAGATTGATAAATTAGACTTTTAAAAAGTTAAGAATTTCTGTTCATCAAAAAACCAACATATAGAGTGTGAAAAGGCAAGTCACAGACTGGGAGAAAACACTCACAATACACACATCCGAGAAAGAAGTTATGTCCAAAATTTATAAAGAAATATAAATCCATAAAACAGAGGAAATTATTTTAATGGGCAAAAGATTTGATAAAATCTTTAAATTTGGTAAAAGAAGACAATCAAATAATCAAGAAGTATATGCAACATGCTCAACATCACCAGCCATCAGGGGAATTCAAAGTGTAACCTCAATGAGATACCACCTCACAGTTACTATAATGTCTACAAGGAACAGCACTGCTACCAACATTACTAAGGATTAAAGAGGATGTAGGACAATTAGAACTATCCTATATGGCTGGCAGGAGTGTATCTTGGTTCAGTTTTTTTGAAAAAAACTGGCAGTATCCACTATGCATATATTTGCTTACAACCCAGCAATTTTATTCCTAGGTATATAGATAACAGAAATGAGTGCTTATGTCTATCAAAAGATATGTTCAAGAATATTCATGGCAGTGCTAGTCATAACAGCCAAAAATTGAAAGTACCCAAATGTCATGCAATGGAATACTGCACAGAAATGGAAAAGAACAAACTTCTTCTACCCCCAACAACATAAATGAATAATGGTGAGTAATCATACATAAAAATGTATGATTCCATTTGCATCAAGTTCTAGCGCAGGCAAACTAGTTTATGGTGATAGAAGTTAAAATAATGGTTACTTGGCAGGGGAAGAGTAGTACTAGGAAGGGGCAGGAAGGAATCTTCTGGGATGCTGGAAATATTCTTGATCTGAGGGGTAAGTTCATGGGTATCCATACATGTAAAAATTCACTGAGCTGTCTACTTAAGAATTGTGTATGCCACTGTACATAAGTCATGCCTCAATTAAAAAAAAAAGAAAAAATCAAAAAATCAAAAATAAGAACATATATGCATGTATTATACCTGAATTTCTGATTATTAAATTAAATCCCAGGCCAGGCACAGTGGCTCACACCTGTAATCCCATCACTTTGGGAGGCCAAGGCAGGCAGATCATTTGAGGCCAGGAGTTTGAGACCAGCCTGACCAACATGGCGAAACTCCGTCTCTACAAAAAGCACAAAAATTAGCTGAGCATCATGGCATGCGCCTGTAATCCCAGCTACTCTGGTGGCTGAGGCACGAGAATCACTTGAAATCTGGAGGTGGAGGTTGCAGTGAGCCACGATCACGCCACTGCATCCCAGCCTGGGCAACAGAGTGAGACTGTGTCTCAATAATAATAACCATCACATATTAATCACTTCTTCAATATGTAACATATTTGCATGTCCCTCTCTACTAGCCCCAAGTTCAAGGCAACAGAGAAATTACCTTTCTCATCCTGATACCCCACATAATATCCAGCACAAAACCTTGCACATAATAGCCACACACAGAAATTCCATGCTTAAGAGGTAGTCATGTATTAGGGAAGTGAGAGGGTCTCCAGACACATCCTTCATGAATATCAAGAGTCTCCTGTACTTTAAATTATTTTACCAAGTAGGAAAACAAAGTCTCAAATTCACAATAGTCTCAAATTTGCTGTCATGTACTCATAGAGTATACATCCCTTGATCCCAGTAGTTTATCTTTCCCCATTCAGTATTTCCCCATTCAGCCTTGTTTGAGTTGCAGTAAGTGTTTCCGAAAAGGACAACTCATTCCAGATTATGATAATATCTAAAGTGATAATTCTTGGTTATACTTGATTTAATGGTTTTCATTTTATATACTCTCCTCTTCCCCAAAATAAGTGTATAATTAGGAGTAGGAAACCACAAGTTCTCATTAAGTTAAGGAAGTTAAACAACAGTCTTTTTTTAACTTTTATTATAAGTTCAGGGGTACATGTGCTGGTCTGTTATACAGGTAAATTTGCATCATGGGGGTTTGCTGTAGAGATTATTTTGTCACCCAGGTATTAAGCCTAGTACCCATTAGTTATTCTTCCTGATCCTCTCCCTCCTCCCAGCTCCTGCCCTCTAATGGGCCCCAGTGTGTGTTGTTCCCCCTCATGTGTCCATGTGTTTTTATCATTTAGCTCCCACTTATAAGTGAGAACATGAGGTATTTGGTTTTCTGTTCCTGCGTTAATTTGCTAAGGACAATGGCCTCCAACTCCATCCATGTCCCTGCAAAGAACATATGTCATTCCTTTTTATGGCTACGTAGTATTCCATGGTGAATATGTACCACATTTTCTTTATCCAGTCTATCATTGATGGGCATTTAGGTTGATTCCATATCTTTGCTATTGTGAATAGAGCTGCAATGAACATATGCGTGCATGTGTCTTTAGATACATTTAGTAGAATGATTTATATTCCTTTGGGTATATACCCAATAATGGAATTTCTGGGTCAAATGGTATTTCTGCCTCTAGATCTTTGAGGAATCGCCACACTGCCTTCCACAATGGTTCAACTAATTTACACCCCCACCAACAATGTAAAAGCATTCCTTTTTCTCCACAACCTCACCAGCATCTGTTGTTTTTTTTTTTTTTAACTTTTTATTAATAGCCACTCTGACTGGTGAGATGGCATCTCATTGTGGTTTTGATTTGCATTGAGCTAATAATCAGTGATTTTGAGCTTTTTCATGTGATTGTTCACTGTATGTATGTCTTCTTTTGAAAAGTGCGTTGTTCATGTCCTTTGCCCACTTTTTAAGGGGTTTTTTTTTTCTTGTAAATTTGTTTTAATTCCTTATAGATGCTTGATATTAGACCTTTGTCAGATGCATAGTTTGCAAAAATTTTCTCTCATTCTGTAGGTTGTCTGTTTACTCTGTTGATAGTTTCTTTTGCTGTGCAGGAGCTCTTTAGTTTAATTAGATCCCATTTGCCAACTTTTGCTTTTGTTTCAATTGCTTTTGGTGTCATCATGAAATTTTTGCCCATTCCTATGTCCATAATAGTATTGCCTAGGTTGTCTTCCACAATTTTTATAGTGTTGAGTTTTACATTTAAGCCTTTAATCCATCTTGAGTTAACATTTGTATATGGCATAAGGAAGGAGACCAGTTTCAATTTTCTGCATATGGCTAGCCAGCTACCCCAGCACCATTTATTAAATAGGGAGTCCTTTCCCCATTGCTTGTTTTTGTCTGGTTTATTGAATATCACATAGTTGTAGGTGTGCAGCCTTATTTCTGAGCTCTCTATTCTGTTCCATTGGTCTACATATCTGTTTTTGTACCAGTACCATGCTGTTTTGGTTACTGTAGCCCTGTAGTATAATTTGAAGTTGGGTAGTATGATGCCTCCAGCTTTGTTCTTTTTGCTTAGGATCGCCTTAGCTATTCAGGCTCTTTTTTGGTTTCATATGAATTTTTAAACAGCTTTTTCTAGTTCTGTGAAGAATGTCATTGGTAGTTTAATAGGAATAGCATTGAATCTATAAATGGCTTTCGGCAGTATGGCCATTTTAATGATATTGATTCTTCCTATAATGGTATTTCAAACAGGCATATAGTTCATCCCCACACTCCGGCCTATTATATATTATTCCAATTTTGCCCTAGAAAATTCAAAATTCCTTGGACAATATGAGTTGCTAGTGAATAGTCAAAATAGCAAATGTTATTCAGTGAATATCGCTGTGTACATTCATTGTGGATAGTTTTCTTGAAGCATTTCATTTTCATGTTTGTTGACACACTTGACCTTCAATAAGCCATAAAGGTATCATGTAAAATCTAAGTTACATGAATGCAAGGAGTTTTGTATATTTTGTTTACTGTTGAAACTTTCATGACTCCACAATGCCTGACACAAATAGGCACTCAACAATTATTTGTTAAGCAAATGACTATTAGAAGGCATTTCATATTTTTTATGATTAATCACCACGTTAAGTTTAAACAGTTCTTCACCTTTTTGTCCATCCTTTTTTTGACAACAGAAGAAAATTAAAAATTTTTATCCACTAACAAAATTGTGACACAACCAACTTGGTCAACAGATTAGAAAACCTATCATTCATTTGGTTTCTTTATTAGCATAGTGACCAAAATAATTAGATTGGCTGTATTACAGTCAATGTGGACTAGCTGTGTTTAGATATAAATTTTCACCAGCCTCTCTATATGTTACAGGATATTAATAATGGAACACTTTCTGTCTCCATTGTGGCTTTTGGCTGCTATATGGAAATAACAAATACTGCATTCCGAAGAGAACAAAAATGTCCAAATTCATGCCTGAGAAATAGTTAAATGACTGTCTTTATTGGAGATGCGATTTAGAGATTATGTGTGAGGAGAATTTCTTTGGACAGAGCTGGCAATGAGTCCTATCATTCCAAGGAAAGAGTGTGTAGGATGCCTGTCTTTCATCTTTAGCAAAAAAAAAAAAAAAAAAAAAAAAAAAGGCTTGATATGTTCCTGAGAACCAGAGGAACACAATGGCCAAGTCTCTGACTCCCACATGAAAAACTTAAAAGCAGAGATGGGCTCTGGAGGTGGAAGCAAAGAACAGGTGACTGTGCTGGGACTGGCTTACTGAAGCAGAAAATGGATGAGTGCTTCCCATGGACCTGGTACCATTTTAAATCCCACTGATAGGTCAGACTGAAAGGAAGCTGGGACCTCGACAAAGGGAGTCTGTGTAAAGTGGACCACTGAAGGGCCAGCTGCTGAGAAGGAACAGCCAGTTAGAGACATGCCCACTCCATATCACAAGAAGTACCATCAAATATTCCCAGTGAGGGCCCCAGAAGGATGCAGGCCCAGAGACGTCATAGGCAGCTCATGACACAGTGCCAGACAAGTAAGAATGTTCCTGTTCTCTTACCTCTCGACTTCCCTCCACTCTTTAGACCAAGGTCTTGTCAGAACTGTGGATAGTGGAGGAGGGAGGGAAGTATGCCATGCTTTCTTTGCTTCCCTCACGAAGAAGGCCTCAGTTAGGGAAAAGAAAGGTTTTAACTTATAAATCCAGTTAGAGCTGCTTAATATAACAAAGCCCTGACACTCTAAATTCCAAATTGGGAACTTAAAAGGACCACTGGGCTTTTCTTTCTCTAACAGTGAACAGAAACATCACGAGACTGCCTGAGTTTTTGTCCAGGATCATAGGTGGCATTTCCCCCATTGAATAAGTTGTAAAGCAACTGAGAGAAAAAAAAAAAAAATGTGTTTTCTGGTTATGTCCTGCAAGTTTGGGTTGCTAACATACTGTTTCCATGCAGAAAACATAAGTTCTGCATAGCTTTTTTTCAATTGAATGGGCCTTAGAGAGCACCCAGTTTTCATTTTAAAGATGAGAATTCCAAAACTCAGAGGTATGGATTCAAGTGTCAAACATTTCCAGGTACTAAATTACTTTGGGCAAGAATCTTAGTTTCTTGAGCTTTGATATCCTCATAAGCATAGCCAGAATATTTTAGAAAGAAAGAAGTGCCGGGTGCGGTGGCTCATGCCTGTAATCCCAGCACTTTGGGAGGCCGAGGCGGGAGGATCACGAGGTCAAGAGTTCAAGACCAGCCTGGCCAACATGGTGAAACCCCATCTCTACTAAAAATACAAAAAATTAGCTGGGTGTGGTGGCACGTGCCTGTAATCCCAGCTACTCAGCAGGCTGAGGCAGAGAGTTGCTTGAACCTGGGAGGCGGAGGTTGCAGTGAGCCGAGATTATGCCACTACACTCCAGCCTGGGCAACGGAGCGAGACTCTGTCTCAAAAAAAAAAAAAAAGAAGTAACAGTAACAATACATGTTTCCCAAGATGTTGAATTGATATCAAATGACACAATATGTGTAGAAGTGCTTTTATAATAGTAAAAAGATACACATGTATATTTTTTCATTATTGTTGGTGACTGACTCAGGGTTAGGATCAAGGTATCCTGACTTTTAATCTGGTGTACTTTTCACTTTACCACACTATTTCTGTTTTCCATGTTTATGATATATATCAACAAGGAGGTGAAACCATTTAAAAAATGGATACCTCAATGTAGCCATCCCATTTAATTAACAGTGTGTTGGATTGATCTAGTTTATCTGGGAAAATGGTTTTATACATATTTTCTGATGTGATCCTGTAGCTTTAAAATAGTGATTTGCCTTCAGTTACCTTAAAATAAAACTAACATTAAAGCTTACCTCAATTACCAGAATGTATAGCTATTGTAATTCTCGGGTAATGAACCATAACTGTTCTGACTCCAGAATATAACTTACTACATAAAGTCTGATATTCGAATTTTACTTGTATGGGTAATTTGACATAGAAGTAGGATGAACATATTTTTAAAATCCATTTATGTGAATTTCCTAACTTTTGATACTAAATTTTATATTTATTTGTATATCTATAATATACATACATATATACATTAAATACCCACAAAATCCATATTCTAGTACCACTGTTCTATCACTGATCAACAACCACTTCTCCTGCTCACTGATCTGCTTTCTAACTATCCCTAGAGAAATTCCTAATTAATCCAAGAAGGAATTTTTTAAAATATGTATCTTTGAAAATTTTTCAAGAAATACCACATAACACATCTTTAAACCTGCCAGTTTCTTGGGATAAAAATGTAGAAACTACTAAAATAGAGCTTCAGTTCACCAGGATTCAAGGACTTTCCAAATCATATGATTATGAATTCCAATTTTTAAAAATAGCAACATATTTGCAGAGCAGAAGGCAAGTGAATTGGTAAGAATATTAAAAGAAGGAGAAAACATTTCTCTACAACATTTCATCCCTTGTTAGAATCTGATACAGTAGAATAGTCATTATGGTAAAAAAAAAAAAAAAAAATTACCAGTAAATGTCACAAAGACACAGTCTATTTCTACATTGCCCCTGGCATTGGTTCTACCAAGCTGAGGAAGAAAATAGGTATTTTTCATTAGATGTTAAAAAGCCTAAATTAAAATGTGTGCACCTGGTAGACCCACTATAAAGATAATTAAAAAGAGATATGTGTCTTTTGAAGCCCATTTTTGGAAGCAAATTTATATTCTCTTATTGAAAAGATTCAGAGGAACTTCCTCTTAATTATGCTCTGGAAACCAAAAAGAAGCCACCAGGTTTTCTTCCATACAATATCAGAATGAATCAACAAGATGATTTTGCATAGAGATGACATATGCGACAGTAAAAATTAAACACGTTTCTGAGAGGAAATTTTAATCAGCAAAGAAACAAAGAAAGTGAAACAAAATCTGCCACCAAGTATACAGGTAGGAAAAAGTAGTAAGTTTTTAAAGAAATAAAACTCCATGGCTTTCCAACCCACAAGACTTCTCTAGGGCTGACATGGCATGTGGTTTGACCACAGAATTACATTTGTGGGTCCTTTTCTTCTATATTCAGTGCAGAAAATATTTCTCTGACTTCCAAAGTAAAGGGAAAAACTTGCATCCAGTTATATATGGGTATGTGTGTGGATAGAGATAGAAATAGAGATAGAGATGGATATGAAGATGGAGCTGGAGATAGAGATAGAAATAGAGATAGAGATATATACTTTTTCATTGCAATGCCAATTTGTTTAAACTCCATGTAGTTCGGGGTTGTGTCTTGGTCATTTTTAGTACTCCTCAAATTTCATTCCCCCTCAGCCAGCACCTAACATGGTTCTTCTCCAATAAGCATTCTATAAGTATTTGCAGGATAAATGTCATATTGGATTATCTTGAACTACTGTGAGACAACTACTTATCAGAAGAGGACTTTGGCACACTGCTCAAGAGAGGCACTTGAAGCAGTAGAGATGAAGTGTCAGTTTAAACAAGTGTTTCAGGGGTTCTAGTTTGAGAGCCCCAGTCATGAAGATCCAGCAGATTTAGATGAAGTACAGTGTCTGGAGGGCTTTGAGTTGGCTTGTCAGGACTCCTCACATAAGAGGACACGGTCGCCTATAAAATAATCATCCCAAGGAAACAAAGCTGAGCTGGGCACTCAATTTTCACCCAAGTCAAATGGCTCTGTGTGAAAGGAGAGGGCACAGTTTTGAGTATGTGCTAGGATCTGATTGGCAGGGAGTATGTAACACAAAGATTAAAATCCAGGGCTTTAGGCATGAATTTCAATTCTGCAAGAAGTGGCTCTGTGACACTGAGCAGATTCTGTAGCCTCTCTAAGCCTCAGTCTCTTTGGCTATAAAATTGGGTCATTACTATTGTGGAATCCCACAGGGTTGTGAGAAGTACAGAAGGGTCGCTTCTGGTTTCTGACAAGTTGACAAACCGCCTCCTACAAAAGTAAGAAGAAACCATAGACTGAAGAAGTAAAATTAGGAAAAACTTAAGATGCCCTAAGGGGCCCAGGACAAGTCTGTCATAAAGAAGTGGGAAGTGAGAAGGCAACTTCTTGGGGTGGAAGGCAGCAGCTGAAGCAATGAAAAGTAGGTTGAATACATTTCTCTTGTCTTAAGCCACCAAGTTTGTGGTAATTTGCTATGGTAGCAACAGGAAATTAATACACCTTATTTCTATAGAAATATGATATGGCTTTATCAATCCTCTCTTATCACTTAATTAAATCATGGATATCCCAAAAACTAAAGCATAAACTTAAATCAAGTATTTCCTAGAATTTGCCGATTTAACATTTAAAGTTTTCTTTAGATAAGTGCATATAAAAACCAGCCTGAGATGATATTGTGCCAATGTCAGTTTCCTGCTTTGATAATGTACTCTAGTTGTGCAAGTTGTCACCATTGGAGGATGGAAAGTGTACACAGGACTTTTCTTTACTGTTTTCAGAACTTCTTATGAGTCTATACATATTTCAAAATAAGAAGTTAAAATTTAAAAACAAAAAGTTGTTTGAGAGACAGCTTTCACATTCTCCTATTATTTTTTTTCTTCACATTACCTTGAGGCTATCATTGCCTGTCCCCCTACTAAAGAAATCCAGGCTGCTAAGGATATGTGAGGGTGATATCCAGACAGCAAAGAAGTCCTTTTGCAGTGAACAGCTAATGAAAACAGGTGCAGGATGGAAAAGAGAAAAATAGCAACTCTACATGGAGAAACCTGGCAGACACATTCTTAACCAAGTGTTCAAGGTTAACATCACCAGTAATAAGTCACAATGATATCGTGTATCCCTGATATAACAGACTGAGAAGAGACATTTCTCTTTGTGGTACATATTCCAAAATCCCAAAACCCCATTCCAATTCTGAGAAAACAGACAAATACAAATTGAGGAGCACACTACTAAATATCTGACCACTACTCTTCAGAACTGTCAAACTCATGAAAAACAAGGAAATTCTGCTAAACTCTTACAAAGGAGAGGATATGACAAATAAATGCAATGTGGCATCTTGGAATAAATAGCAGAACAGAGAAAAAAGACAATAGTGAATAAACCGGTGAAATAATAATCAAGTCTGTGGTTTATTTACTAGTGTTAAACCAATGTTAATTTTTTAGATTCAACAAATGTACCATGATTATGTAAGATGATAACATTACGGGAAGCTGGGTGAAAGTGAAGGGTGTATGAGAATCATTTGTACTGTCTTTTCAACTTCTCTGTAAATCTGAAATTATTTCAAATTAAAAAGTTTTTAAAAGCTGAAACAGGTACAGGTGACTCCACTACCCTTGACAGTCACTTCTCCACCCCCAGGCCCTAAAAATCTCTTGAATTTCTAGCAAAAGGAGTTGCCTGGTGGAGAAGCAGCATAAGGGGTTAAACAAAAGTGGTTTGTGAAATTCTGTTTCTAGCAATGATAGACTAAGTCATTTTGAGCCCACACTCCCACTGAGGACAACTAGAATACTGAGCAAGTATTTAAATATCTTCCTGAAGTCATCAGAGAGCTACCAAGGAAATGAAGAATAAAAAGTCCAAGAGTCAAGAGAGAAGAAAAATTCAGAGAAATGAGCCTGGCAGCATTTGGGGCTTCATTTCTACTCAGGCCAATTTTCAATTCAAACAGTACTGGCTGAAAGGCTGAGAAGTTAAGCAGAGATTTTCAAAGACCCTTGGGTGTTAGGGAGACAAAAATTGGAGTTTAAGGGTTGCCAAAAAAGGAGGATTCTGATAAACAGCAGAGTTTTTCAGTTGTGACAACAGAAGGCTATACTCTGAGTAAAGATTAACACCAGAAATAAATCAACCCTCATAAATATAAAAGCCCAATTTTGAATAATCTCAATCTCAGATCCAGCTGCCTGGCAGAAGCAAACGTAAATTCCCTCTGGAACAAAATAACATTACCCAGAGCCATAAATTATCTTATAATTTTTCAAATAAAATGACTAACTGTTGATCAAAAATAGCCAGGTTTATGAGAAGACTAAGAATAAAAAACAAGACATAAAATATATTAGAAATAGACCCACAGGAAATGCAGATTATGAAATTGCCAGACATGAACTTAAAAAACTATAATATTTCAATGTATTGAATGATAATACTGAGAATTTCAGCAGGGAACTTGAAAATATTTTAAGTGTAAATTCTAGTAGTAAAAAATGCAATACCAAAAATTTAAAATTAAATGGATGGGCTTAACAGTATATTATAGAGAAGATAAAACAAGTTACTGGAAGATAAATTAGGAGCAATTATCCAGGCTGAAAGAAGGAGAGACTTAAGATTTGACAATATCTTTTAAAAGGTTAAAAACATTTGAGAAATGGTGAAAAGCTCTAAAATATACAAACTGGAGTCCCTAAAGAGAAAAAATAGAATGAAAAAAATACCCGAAATTATATTGATTGATGATTTTTCAAAACTTATGAAAGGTCTCAAGCATGATAATATTGAGAAATTAAGACCTAGGAATATCATAGTAAAAATTCTGAAGAGCTAATGCGAGTAGAAAATTCTAAAATCAGAGGGATGTCAAAAACAAAGACAAAATTCCATGAGCTTTCAGAGAAAAATAATTGTTCAGTGTCAAATGAATATAAGCCAGATTTACTTCAAATTGTTCAACAACCTTACTGGGTGCAAAAATATAACAGATTAATAATTTTTCCATATTAAAGATAAAAACACATGAACCTAAAATTTTATTTAAGAACAAAAAATTAAATCTAGAGAGATGTTGCAAGAGATGTGGAAAGTATGGGTGATCAGATAACATAATTATGTAAAAATAAAGGGAAAAAAGAAATAAAGGAGGGAAATTTGTCCACAACCAACAGTTAAAATTCTAAAGAATACCAACCCAGTTTATATGTGTGTAGATAAGAACATAAACGAAAAGACAAGGGCTCTCACATTTAACACACACACACACACACACACACACACACACACGCACGCATATACTGTGTCAACAGGATGATTTCTATAAAAGGTATATATACCTAAAACAAAAAAAAAGTGAAAACTGTCAAAAATCAAAGGCTGGGAAAGATATACCGAGTAAATATAAAATGAAGAGAATGCTGAGATGGGAATTTTATTATCTAACAACAACCAAACTAAACAAAAGCAAAGAAAAAAACAAGCAAAACATTTTAGCTGAAAATACCAAAAGAAATATCATAGAATATTATCTACCCATAAAAAGAACAACAGAGTGGAAACATATTCATAAGAAACATAGATGTTCTTAGTACAGCCTCAAACAACAGCAGAAGTGCTGGGAGAAACATGCACATCCACTGAATGTACAGCCCCACATGTTGACAGTTAGTGGGACACATCTAAAGCCACACCTAGAAGGATGTTTATGTTTAAATATAATTATCAGACTATCAGAAAGGTTGAAAACTAACAAAAACTTCAACACAAGAAGGTGGATAAACAGCCGCAAAACAAACTCAATAAACAAGAAGGAAGCAAATAGTAAAGGCAGACTTACAAAACAGGATGAAGAAAACCAAAACCTGTCTTTGAAAATATTAAGATAGATAGTCTTTTGGTAAGACTGATCAAGAAATGAATCTGGAACTTCGTCAGTGCAGCAAGATGGCTGAATAGAAGGCTCCACCTGTTGTCCCCCCACCCCCACAAGGATACTAATTTAATAACTATCTACACACACACACACAATAAAAAGCACCTTACAAGAGCCACAAATCAGGTGAGCAATCACAGCACCTGGTTTCAACTTCATATCACTGAAAGTGGCACTGAAGACAGTGGGAAACACAGTCTTGAGTTGCCAGCACCATTTATCCCCCATTCCCCAGCAGTGTGCATAGAGAGAATCTGTTGGGAGAGGGAGAGCACAGCAATTATAAGACATTGCACTGAATTCAGTGCTGCCCTGTCAGAGCAGAAAGCAAAACCAGGCTGAACTCAGCTGATGCCCACCCACAGAGGGAGTATCTAAATCAGACCTAGTCAGAAGGGAAACACCTATCCAAACAGTCAGATCTTGAGTTCTGACAAGCCTCACTACCATGGGCTAAAGTGCTCTGGGTCCGTAAATAAACTTGAAAGTCAGTCTAGGTCACAAGGACTACTACTCCTAGGCAAGTCCTAGTGCTGAACTAGGCTCAGAGCTGGGGGCATGTGACCTACTGTGACAGTCAAGGAGGATAAGGAAATGCTTGCACCACTCCTTCCCCAACCCGAGGCAGCACAGCCCATGGCTCCAAAAGAGACCCCTCCCTTTTGCTTGAGGAGAGGAGAGGGAAGAATAAAGAGGGCTTTGTCTTGCATCTTGGATACCAGCTCAGCCACAGGAGGATAGGGCACCAGTCAGAGTTCGGAGGCCCCCTTTCCAGGCACTAGTTCCTGGACAACATTTCTAGACACACTCTGGGCCGGAAGGGAACCTGCTGCCTTGAAGGGAAGGATCCAGTCCTGGCAGGACCTATCACCTGCTGACTAAAGAGCCCTTGGGACCTGAATAACCAGCAGCAATACCCAGGTAGTATGCCATGGGTCTTGGATGAGCATCTGAGACTTGCTGGTTTCAGATGAGACTCAGCACATTCTCAGCTATGGTGAATATGAGGAGAGACTCTTCCTGCTTGAGAAAAGTGGAGGGAAAAGAAAAGGGGAGTTTTTATTGCACCTTAGACACAGGCTCAGCCACAGGGGGGTGGAGTGCCAAGCAGGCTCCTGGGGTCCCCAGTTCCAGGCCTTGGCTCTTGTATGGCATTCCTGGACCTGCCCTAGGCAAAAGAGGAGGCCACTGCCCTGAAGGGTGAGTCACAGACCAGGCAGCATTCACCACCAGCTGACTGAAGAGGACTTGGGCCTTAAGGGAACATCACGGGGAGCCTGGCAATACTCCTCATGGGCCTGTGATGGTGCAGCCATGGGGTGAGGCATCTCTGCCTGTGGAAAGGAGAGGGAAGAGTAGGAAGGACTGAATGTCATTATTTGAGTGCCATCTCAGCCACAGCACAATAGAACACCAAGTAGATTTGTAAGGTCTTTTACTCCAGTGCCTGGCTCCCAAAAGGTACCTGGACATGCCTGGGGCCTGGGGGATCTCACCACCCTAAAGGAAAGGTCATAGCCTGGCTGGCTTCACCACCTGCTAATTGTAGAGCCCCAGGGCCTTGAACAAACTTAGGCAGTAGTCAGGCAGTGATTACAGTGGGCCTTGGTGAGATCCAGCGCTGTGCTGGCTTTAGGTCTGACTCAGCATAGTCTCAGTGGTGGTGGTCACAGGGGTGCTTGTATCACTCCAACCCCAGGACCAGGTGGCTCAGAACATAGAGACTCTGTTTATTTGGGAGAAAGTAAGGGAAGAGAATAAGAGTTTCTGCCTGGTAATCCAGAGAATTCTTCCAGATCTTATCCAAGACCATCAAGGTGGTACCTCTATGAGTTTGCAAGAATTACAGCATTACTGGGCTTGGGGTGCACCCTAATGCAGATACAGCTTAGATCACAACACCCAAGTCCTTTCAAATACCTGGATGGGTACAAACAAGCTCAGATTGCAAAGACTACAATAAATACCTAACTCTTCAATGCGGAGACACAGACAAATATCTACAAGCATCAAGACAATCCAGGAAAACAGGACCTCACTAAAGGAGCTAAATAAGGCTCCAGGGACTAATCCTGGAGAAACAGAGATATGTGAGCTTTCAGATAGAGAATGCAAATTAACTGTTTTGAGAACTCAAAGAAATTCAAGGTAATGCACAGATGGAATTCAGAATTCTATCAGATAAACTTAGCAAAGACATTGAAATAATTTAAAAGAATGAAGCACAAATTCTGGAGTTGAAAAATGCAAGTGACACTGACTGAAGAATGCATCTGAGTCTCTCTCTCTCTCTTTTCTTTTTTTTTTTTTTTTTGAGACGGGGTCTTGCTTTATCACCTAGGCTGAAATGTAATGGTACAGCTATGGCTCACTGCAGTGCTGACCTCCCAGGATCAAGTGATTCTCCCACCTCAGCCTCCCAAGTAGCTGGGACTGCACGTCCACCATACCTGAGTATTTTTTTTTTATTTTTTGTAGAGATGGGTATTTGACATGTTGCCAGGCTGGTCTCACACTCCTGGGCCCAAGCGATCCGCCCACCTTGGCCTCACAAAGTGCTGGGATTACAGGTGTGAGGCACCGCACCTGGCCTACAGGCTCTTAATAAAAGAACTGATCAAGAAAAAAAAAAAGAATTGGTGAGGTTGAAGACAGATTATTGGAAAATACACAGTCAGAGGAGACCAAAAAAAAAAAAAAAAAAAAGAAAGAAAAAAATGAAGCAGATATACAGGATCTAGAAAATACTTCAAAAGGGTAAATCTAAGAGTTATTGGCCTTAAAGAGGAGGTAGAGAAAGAGATAGGGGTAGAAAGTTTATTCAAAGAGATAACAGAGAACTTCTCAAACCTAGAGAAAGATATCACTATTCAAGTACAAGAATGTTATTGAACACCAAGTAGATTTAACTCAAAGAAGATTGTATCAAGGCATTTAATAATCACACTTCCAAAGGTCAAAGATAAAGAAAGGATCCTAAAAGCAGCAAGAGAAAAGAAACAAATAACATACAATGGAGGTCCAATACATCTGACAGCAAACTTTTCAGTGGAAACCTTACAGGCCGGGAAAGAGTGGCATGACATATTTAAAGTGCTGAAGGAAAAAACTTTTACCCTAGAATAATATATCCAGCAAAAATATCCATCAAATATGAAGGAGAAATAAAGACTTTCCCAGACAAATAAAAGCTGAGGGATTTAATCAACATCAAATCTGTCCTACAAGGAATGCTAAAGGCAATATTTTAGTGAGAAAGAAAAGGACATTAATGAGCAATAATAAATCATTTAAAGATACAAAATTCACTGGTAACGTTAAGTACACAAAACCCACAAAATATTATAACACTGTAACCATGGTGCATAAACTGCTCTTAAATAAAAGGACTAAACGATGAACTAATCAAAAATAATAACTACAACAACTTTTTAAGACATACACAGTACAATAAGATACAAATAGAAACAATAAAAAGTGAAAAAGCAGGGAGACAAGGTGTAGAGTTTGTATTAGTTTCATTTTTTGCTTGTTTGTTCATGCAAACAATGTTAAGTTGTTATCAGTTAAAAATAATGGGTTATGAGGCATTATTGGCAAGCCTCATGGTAACCTCAAATTGAAAAACATACAACAGATATACAAAAATATTAAAGACAAGAAATTAAATCATACCTCTAGAGAAAATTACCTTCACTGAAAAGACAACAGGAAAGAAGAAAAGAAGGAAGAGAAGACTATAAAACAACCAGAAAACAAATAACAGAATGGCAAGAGTCAGTACTTATCAATAACAACATCGAATGTAAATGGACTAAACTCTCCCAATCAAAAGATGTACAGTGGCTGAATGGATTAAAAACAAAAAACAATACCGAATGATCTGTTGACTACAAGAAACACACTTCACCTATAAAAACACACATAGACTGAAATAAAGGGATGGAAAAAGATATTCCATTCGAAATAAAACCAAAAAGAGAGAAAGAGTAGCTATACTTAGACAAAATAGATTTCAAGACAAAAACTATAAGGAGAGACAAAGAAGGTCACTATATAATGATAAAGGGTCAATTCAGCAAGATGATATAACAATTATAAATATACAGTTGTGCAAAAGTAATTCTGATTTCTGCCATTAAAAGTAATGGGCAGAAATTACTTCTAATGGGCAGAAACCACAATTACTTTAGCACCAACCTAATATATGCACCCAACACTGGAGCACCCAAATATATAAAGCAAATATTATTAGAGCCAAAGAGAGAGCTACGCCACAATACAAAAATAGCTGGAGACTTCAACACTCCACTTTCAGCATTGGACAGATCTTCCAGACAAAAAATCAACAAAGAAACATCGGACTTAATCTGCACTATAGATCAAATGGACCTGATAGATATTTACAGAATATTTCACCCAATGGCTACAGAAAATGCATACCTTTCTTCAGCACATGGATCACTCTCAAAGATATACCATATATTAGGTCACAAAACAAGTCTTAAAACATTCAAACAAATTGAAATAACATCAAGCATCTTTTCTGCCACATTAGAATAAAACTGCAAATCAATAACAAGATGAATTTTGGAAACTATACAAATATATGGAAATTAAACAACATGCCCTTGAAAGACCAGTGGTTAAATGAAGAAATTAAAAAGTAAACAAAAATTTCTGGAAATAAATGATGATGGAAACACAAAATACCCAAACCTATGGGATACAGCAAAAGCAATACTAAGAGGGAAGTTTATATAAATTTCTGCATCAAAAAAGGAAAACTTCAAATAAACAACCTGACAATGCATCTTAAGTAACTACAAAAGCAAGAGCAAACCAAACCCAGAATTAGTAGGAGAAAAGAAATAAGGATCAAGGCAGAAATAAATGAATTTGAAATAGAACAACAATACAAAATATCAAAAAAAGCTGATTTTCTGAAAAGATAAAATTGACAAACCTTTAGCCAGACTAACTAAAAACAGAGAGAAGACCCAAATATATAAAATCAGGATGAAAAATGAGGCATTACAACTGATCCTCCACAAATTAAATGAATCATTAATGGCTTCTATGAGCAACTATATGCCAAAAAATTGGAAAAATCTAGAATAAATGAATAAATTTCTTGACACATACAGCACTAACACTATGTCAAAGCCATAATAGAAGGTCTCCCAGCGAAGAAAAACCTGGGACCTGATGGCTTCACTGCTGAATTCTACCAAACATTTAAAGAAGAATTAATACCAATCCTACTCAAACTATTACAAAAAATAAAAGAGGAAGGAAAACTTCCTAACTTATTCTCCAAGGCCAGTATTACCTGATACCAAAATCTGACAAAGACACATAAAAAAAGAAACTATAAGCCAACATCACTGATTAATATTGATGCAAAAAGTCCTCAACAAAATACTAGCAAACCAAATTCAACAAAACATTCAAAAGATCATTTATCATAACCAAGTGGGATTTATCCCAGGGATGCAAGGACAGTTCAACACATGCAAATCAGTTAATGTCATAGATCATATCAACAGAATGAAGGACAAAAACCATAAGGTCATTTCAATTGATGCTGCAAAAGCATTTGATAAAATTCAACATCCCTTCATAACAAAAACCATCAAAAAACTGAATATAAAAGGAACATATCTCAACTTAATAAAAGTCTTATGTAACAGACTCATAGCTAGTATCATACAGAATGGGGAAAAACAGAAAGCCTTTCCTCTAAGATCTGGAACAAGGATGCCCACTTTCACCACTGTCATTCAACATAGTACTGGAAGTCCTAGTTAGAACAATCAGAAAAAAGAAAGAAATATAAGGCATCCAAATTAGAAAAGAGGAAGTCAAATTATTCTTGTTTTCAGAAGATAAGATCTTATGTTTGGAAAAACCTAAAGACTACACCAAAAAAACTATTAGAACTGATAAACAAATTCAGTAAAATTGCAGGATACAAAATCAACATACAAAAACCAGTGATATTTCAATATGCCAACAGTGAACAATCTGAAAAAGAAATCAAGAAAGCAACCTCATTTACAATAATAGCTACAAATAAAATTAAATATCTAGGAATTAACCAAAGAAGTGAAAGATCTCTACAATGAAAATTATAAAACATTGATGCAATAAATTGAAGAAGTCACAAAAATATGGAAAGATATTTTATGTTCATGGATTAGAAGAATCAATATTGTTAAAATGTCCATAATACCCAAAGCAATCTACAGATTCAATGCAATCCTTATCAAAGTACCAATGACATTCTTCACAGAAATAGAAAAAACAATTCTAAAACGTTTATGGAGCCAGAAAATACCCAGAATAGCCAAAGAGAATGAAACTGGGACAACCATATTACCAGACTTCAAATTATACTACAAAGCTATAGTCATCAAAACAGCATGGTACTGGCATAAAAACAGACACATGGATCAGTGGAACAGAATAAAGAACACAGAGATAAAGCCATACATCTACAGTGAACTCATTTTTGACAAAGTTGCCAAGAACATACTCTGGGGAAAGGACAGTCTCTTCAATAAATGGTACTGGGGAAACTGGATCATTCATATGCAAAAGGATGAAATGAGACCCCCTATCTCTGCCATATACAAAAATCAAATCAAAATAGATTAAAGGCTTACATCTCACATTTGAACTATGAAACTACTACAAGAAGACATTGGGGAAAATTTCCAGAACATTGGTCTGGGCAAAGATTTCTTGAACAATGCCCCACAAGCACAGGTAACCAAAGCAAAAATGGGCAAATGGGATCACATCAAGTTAAAAAGCTTCTGCACAGCAAAGGAAACAATCAACAAAGAGACAACCCACAGAATAGGAGAAAATATTTGTAAATAACCCATCTAACTAGGGATTAATAACCAGAATACATAAGAAGCTCAAACAACTCTATAGGTAAAAGTCTGATAATCCCATCAAACATGGGCAAAATATGTAAATAGACATTTCTCAAAAGAAGACATACAAATGGCAAGCAGGCATATGAAAGGGAGCTCAACATCATTGATCATCAGAGAAATGCAAATCAAAACTACAATGAGATATCATTTCACCCCAGTTAAAATGACTTTTATCCAAAAGTTAGCAATAACAAATGCTGGTGAGGATGTGGAGAAAAGGGAACCCTGGTATACTATTAGTGGGAATGGAAATAGTATAACCGCTATGGAGGACAGTTTGGTGGCTCTTCAAAAAATTAAAAATAAAGCTACCATATGATCCAACAATCCCACTCCTGGATATATACCCAAAAGAAAGGAAATCAGTATACTGAAGAGATATCTGCACTCTCATATTTGTTGCAGCACTGTTTACAATAGCCAGGATTTGGAAGCAACCTATGTGTACATCAACAGAAGAATAGATAAATAGAACATGGTACTTATACACAATGGAGTACCATTCAGCCATAAAAAAATAATGAGATTCTGTCATTTGCAACAACATGGATGGAACTGGAGATCATAATTAATTGAAATAAGCCAGGCACAGAAAGACAAACCTTGCATGTTCTCACTGATTTGTCGGAGCTAAAAATGAAAACAATTGAACTCATTGAGATAAAGAGTAGAAGCATGGTTACCAGAGACTGGGAAGTGTAGGGGGAATGGGCGGGGCAGGGGAAGTGGGGATGTTTAATGGGTACAAAAACATAGTTAGAATGAATAAGACCAGCACTTACTAGCACATGGTGACTATAGTCAGAAATAATTTAATTGTACATTTTTAAATAACTAAAAGATTATAATTGGATTGTTTGTAATGCAAGGGATAAATGTTTGAGGGGGTAGATACCCCATTTGCCCTAATGTGATTATTACGCATTGTATGCCTGTAACAAAATGTCTCCTGTAACCCATCAATATATGGGTTACATGTCCCCACAAAAGTTAAAATTTAAATTTAAAAAAATCAATAAATAAATCAATAATAAAGAAATTATTCTGCAAATAAAATACAGACTGAAAATGGTGGCTTTTAAAAACAATAAAAACATGCTATAAACATCTACATATTGAGAAATTTGAAAACCCAAACTAAAAGGATACATTTATGGAAAAAAGTTAAACATTTATAGGTGAAAAAAGCATAAATAAATTGAAATGGCAAGTAAAGGTCTTCCTTGCCATAAAAAGACCCAGTCAAGATTGTTTGGCAGGTGAGTTTCATCAAACTTTCAAGGAACAATTCATCACTTCTACAAGTCATTCCAGAATGTAGAGAAAGAGTGAAAGCTTCTGACTTGTTTTATGAAGCTAAGGTTATCTAGATTTCCAAATTAGTTAAAGACAATGTAACAAAAATATATGTAAGCTGATTTTAATATGTATGAACATAACCCATAAATATTAAATTAGCCAACAAAATCCAAAAGTGTATTACAAAAAAATTGAGCAAATTTTCAACATCTATTTATGATTTTTAAAAGATTTAGTAAACTAAAAATAGAATAAAACTTTCTAATTTTGTCAAGATGATAAGCTAAGAATATATATAGTAAATAGTATGCTTAATGGGAAATAGGCACAGACTCTTCAAGAACAGGAAGAAGATAAGAATGCCCATCTTGAGTGCTAGAGATCTTGGTCAAAGCCCTGAGGCAAGGAAAGAAAATAAAGCATATAGATTGCAAGGTAAGAGATAAAATGGTGTCATTTGCAGAAAGAATAAATGAACTACATTGAAAAAAATTAACAGAATTAAATGATATATCATTAGATTAACAGTGAAGCCTCAGCAAGTTTGCTGACTCAAGATCAACTTAGAAAAATTCATAATATTTTCCTATTACAGCAATAACCAACTAGAAATTATAATAAAAATAATATGCCTTTTATAATAGCAATAAAATGTATACAATAAATACACAAGATCTCAGTGTAGCCATTGTTGAACAATATTAAATAACATAAAAGTTCTGAATATATAGAGAGAGATTTTGTGTTCTGAGCTGAATCAATTTAATATTATGAAGAATCCAATTCTTCCAAAATTAATCTATAAATTCAATGCAAATTCTGCAGAAATCATAGCTGGATTTTTTTAGGAACTTAATAAAATTATTTTGAAATTTATATGGAAGAAAAGTATGTACAAATAGCTATTCAACTTTGAAAAAGAAGAGCAAAGAGGGAGGACTTAGCCTAGCTATGGTTTAAAAGATCCATAAATCCCATAGTAATAAATACAGTAAGACACTGGCCAGAAAATTGAGCAAATAGACCAGTGAAACCAAATAGAAACCCTACGGACAGCCTCATGAATGTATGAAAACTTTATATCTAAAAGAACACCACAAATTAATGGAGGAAAGAAGAACTGCTCTTTGTATGGCCTCAGGGAAAACTGGCTCATTATACAAAGAAATGCAATACTGGATTTCTACTATGCAACAATGGGAGCTTGAAATGAAATATTTGAGTATGAAAATTAAAACTATAAAATAATAGAAGAGAACATAGGAGAATACCTTTGTGACATTGTCAAAGGGACGAGCTTCTTAAACAAAACAACAGCACAAACCATAAAGCAAAAATTTGATTAACTTGACTGTCAAAATTAAAAATTTCTGTTTAACAAAGAACATCTTGAAGAAAGTTAAGGATGTGAAAGATGAGCACAAGCTTTATAAGGTTCCTCTTAGAAACACATGAATAGGACTAAATCTTGTCATTCAAATATTTTAAACCTGAATGTATCTCTCTGCAACTGCCCAAACCCTATATATACTCCAAAGCTTACAAATGTTTTGAATACTTTAAAATGGCCCATGGGCTAAAGCCCTAGTGTGAAATGTGATGATAGTATAATTGTTTCATTTTAGTAGATTTTAAGAAGATCATTGGCAGTTACAAATGGTAGAGAAGAAACTTTGAAAATATCTAAACCTATCTTATCAATTAATAAAGAAAAATGGGCCCAAAGACATCAAATGGTTTAGCTAATGTCACAGTGAGGTTTTTGGTTTTGTCTTCTAATGAGAATTATCAATGCAAGGGCAAAATCCAAAAGTCTGCATAGTCAGATTTTCACATTTTCAAATGCACTCTGCATGGGGTTTTGTAATTTTGCTCAGCCATTTGGCAACCTTCTAGTAACCGAAGCCTTTTTAATATGCCTTTTAAAATAAACAAGGAATGTAAGGGAAATGAGTTGCCTCTTAATACCTCCCTGCATGTTTCCCTCAATAAATGAATAAAGTCATGTCTCATTTAAATTTTAAAAGCAGCAGAGATGAATACAATATGTTAGTGTAATCACACAGACCCAAGGGCAAAAACAGAGCAGCAAACTGCACCACACACCTAGGGAAGTCTGAAGAGGCACTTTTTCTGTAAATCCAGTGATAATTCTCCCTGCCAAGAGAGAGAATATTCCCTAAGAGACAACCCTGAACACAACTCGGCTAAAAACCCAAAAACTGTTGAAACCCTTTTCCCAGGGCCTCAATAAATTTTTATTCAAATTTTATAGATAGAATCAATTTCATTGAGAATACTCATAATGCTCAAACATTCACAGTAAGAATACATGCCTTCCCCCAATCCTCACAATCACCACCACTTACCCACATAACTGAATCCCTATAGACTCCACTTGAAGGCATCACTTGGGTCTTTTAAATTATGGACCCAATGGGCCTGTAATTGGTATCCAGCCATCATATAAGTCCCACTTACAGCTTGCACTTTTCCGCATTTAGTGGGTTAAAGAGGATGATGAAAATTTAACTTCATATAGTCAACTCTAGACATCAGTAGGTGTCTAAAAGCAAAATTACCTTATTATCTGCTACCAGCACAAAGTTTGCTGGTAGGATTTAAAAAAAAAACAGATATAAAGCATTTTCACTCTTTAAAAGAGCACTTTGAAAATTAATGTTCGAAAGAATGGAAAAAGCTGCGAAGATGACAGTCACACAGTGACATCATTTCTGAGTCTCTTCAAATTCTCACATAAAAAAGAATCATTAGAGAGCAAAATAGAAACCTCATAGACAATATTTTCCAGCAAACTACCTGATAAGGTATCACTTGGAACACAAAAGTACAAGCAGAGATGAAAAAGTCACCAAAACCCTGACACCTGAGTGGTAATAGTTTCTGTGTGGGAGAAAGCAGAAAGAGGTATTCATATCTGAAGGACCAGAGAACAGGAAAATGCCAAACTAGCCAAGGTGCTCCCCTGAAAACAGTATGGATCAATTTGAGAACATCAGCTGAAACTGCAGGAGGTTGCCCACTCCATTAAGAAATGAGGACAAGGGCCCTTGGTAAGAATGTCTACAGGAGGTAGAGCAGTTAAGGCCCTATGGACTCTCAAAATTGACATACTAGGACTCCTTTCCAGGACAAGACCCTCAAATTTAGACAAATTGCTAGGAGTAGAATAAACACGGATGAGGATAGGGGCAACAGAGATGCAGGAAAGAGAGAGTCTAGATAAAAGGAAGGAGAGGAACAGAATCTAGAAATTGCAAAAAGCAAACTACCATAGTCTTGAACACTACATAGAACTAACCCACAAAGGAGCTCTATGAAGCTAGAAAAGCTATAATGAATCCCACCTTCTCCTGAAAAGTTCAGGACAATATATTTCACATAAAGATAAGTAACCAAAAATTATCAAGGCCAAATGCCACTTAAAAAATGAGAAAAAGAATAAGGAACAGAATAACATTCCCACAGAGAATGCAATCATTAGAAAGACGTGCCCATAGATCAGGTCAAAACTTTTTCAAAACGGGCTTAAAGGCATTAAGAAAAAGATAAAACACATGAAAAGATCAGAGTTAGAAAAACACAAAAGTGTGATTAAACTCAACAAGGAATTAAAAATAAAAAAACTTTACTTCAAAAATAAAGGTGAAACCAGAAGGAAATCAAGAATGAATAAATACAACATACAATTCCTTAAATGAAATGGAGAGTAAACAGGGAGAAATATTTTTACAATGAATGAAGAGATAACAAGAATTTGAGAGAGTCAGATATTGAAGATATGCAAAGAAAATTCAACCTATGAATAATGGAAATTCCTAATGAAGAAAACTAAGCAAAGAAAGAACAAATACTATAAATTATTATTAAGAAAACTGTACTGTAATAATAATGTTTTTAAAGATTTGAAACTATAGGAGCACACTGCTTACCTGAGAATACTGACCTGGGATTACTAACATCAAGATATATTTTAATAACATAACTAGACTTTAAATATAAAGAAAAAAATCCTTTGTTCATGTAGGCAAAAAAAAAAACCTGTGAATTATAATGAACAAATTAGCTTCATTTTCAACATCAATGCTTTAAGCCAGAAGGAAATAGGTATATTTAAGATTCTCAAGGAAAGAAGATGTGAGACAAAGATTTTATATCCAGCAAAATTGACTTTCCAGTGTAAAGGGCAAAAATTGTTATCAACATGCAAGAACAGGGAATGTTGTTCTCATGAACTTGCCTGAAAAATCCACTAGACAATAAACTTCAGACAACCAAAAAAAACTAGAAAGACATTGACATAAGGACTGCTGACAAGACTTAAACATATATATAGTTACTTTTAGAATAAATATTAAATGAGGGTTAGAAGGGAAAGATTGTTGTGTGTAACATCTACATGCTCAGATAATGTGCATATAGTTCAACTATTTAGAATGGAAGGGGGAAAACATAGGCAAAACTTTTTAACTGTTTTTGGCAATTATGTTGGTGGTTGAGTATCAGTGTCGTTATTTAGACTTGTATGTGTGAAATGTGGAGTAAAAAATATAAACAATTATGGAACATTGCATTCTACAATTTCTCATGTCCTTGAAGACCAGGTTTCTCTGTGTGGAAGAAAGGAACCAAGATGTAATAAGGGACAGGTAAAGCATAAAACAAAACAAAACAAAAAACTGTATTGCTGAATTTGAAATGAAAGTATCAGTAACACCTGATGAGGCGTTTTATCTTTTTTTTTTTTAACTGCATAGATACATGTATTTCTGAGCTCTGTCCACTGAAGAGGCTTAGAAACAATGGCAAACCCAATAGTGATGGTACCCAATTTGGGTCCTTAAATATCATTTCCCATTAAAAGAAACCAGGGCAATTGGGAGAAGTGGATGATTCTAGGTCTGGGATTAGAAATGCATATGATGATCTGGGAATATTTTATTACACCAGATACTGAGGGAGCTATCAAAGACTACAAGGGTCAAGCCAAAAGGTCTCAGGAGCTAACTCGAGGAGGCTTCCACTAGCCAAAGATGGGACAATTTGAGTTTTAAAAGAATAACAGTTGCAATTAATTGAAAGCCATCAAATATGTTGGAATCCATGAGCACAAAATATTTTTTTAAAATCTCATGTCAATTTTGAATGATCAGGATGATAATGAGCCAATTCATTGCTTTGAGATGAATTAACATCCATTCCTTTGTAAATGAAGGGAATCAAGCATTTATCCTACCTTTCCTGTATGAACTGTACCACTGGGTAACCAGAATAGATAAGAAGTAATTATTTGTAAAAGTGTTCAAATTAATGAATGAAAAATAAATAAGTTAAAATAACGCCATTTTGCAACCCCATTGGGACTAATGGATCTACACTGAGAAACAACAGTTGTTAACATCACAAAAATCACAGAAAACCATGTGCCTCCTGAAGAAAGAAGACATCATTCTCTCTGGCTTTGTCAAAGAGATTTAACCTGAGTCTGATCAAACCTCTGGATTCAACTGTCAATTCGTAGGAAATATAGCAAACAGAGAA
Source organism: Homo sapiens (assembly GCF_000001405.40). Lineage (NCBI taxonomy): Eukaryota > Metazoa > Chordata > Mammalia > Primates > Hominidae > Homo > Homo sapiens. The sequence goes on along the minus strand of NC_000023.11, from coordinate 14,161,467 downwards.
ACATATTGACCTGTACCAAGAGTATGCCATCAGCAAAATCTGAATATGTGAAATTCTATAGGTCAAAAGAGGTAAACTGTAGGAAAAAAAGGGGATTGAGGAGTGACTGTATAATAAAAGAGATGAAAAAGACATCAACTTTTTAGGAATGCTTTTACACTGTTGGTGGGAGTATAAATTAGTTCAACCATTGTGAAAGACAATGTAGTGATTCCTGGAGGATCTAGAACTGGAAATACCATTTGACCCAGCAATCCCATTACTGAGCATATACCCAAAGGATTATAAATCATTCTACGATAAAGACACATGCACACGTATGTCTATTGTGGCACTATTCACAATAGCAAAGACTTGGAACCAACCCAAATGCCCATCAATGATAGACTGGATTAAGAAAATGTGGCACATATACACCATGGAATACTATGCAGCCATAAAAAAGCATGAGTTTGTGTCCTTTGCAGGGACATGGATGAAACTGGAAACCATCATTCTCAGCAAACTATCACAAGATCAGAAAAGCAAACACCACATGTTCTCACTCATAAGTGGGAGTTGAACAATGAGAACACATGGACACAGGGAGGGGAACATCATACACCAGGGCCTGTCGGGGGGGTGGGAGGCTAGGGGAGGAATAACATTAGGAGAAATACCTAATGTAGGTGATGGGTTGATGGGTGCAGAAAACCACCAGGGCACATGTATACCTATGTAACAAAACTGCATGTTTCACACGTGTAACCCAGAACTTAAAGTATAATTTTTAAAAAGACAGTTTATTTATTATTATTTTTACTTTAAGCAGCAAGATCTAATTATGTTGCCCAGGCTGGACTTGAATTCCTAGACTCAAAGGATCCCCCTGCCTCAGCTTCCCAAGTAGTTGGGCCTACAGGCACACACCACCATGCCCAGCCAATTTTTTTTTTTAAAAAGTAGGTAGCACTAAGTTATAGTTTTCAGGCATGCCAATTGCATAATGGAAGTGTAAATAAATTTTTTAAAAGCGATTAGTATAAAAAGTCAGGACAGGCTGGGCGCAGTGGATCATGCCTTGTAATCCCAGCACTTTGGGAGGCCGAGGAGGGCGGATCACTTGAGGTCAGGAGTTTAAGACCAGTCTGGCCAACAGGACGAAACCTCATGTCTACTAAAAGTACAAAAATTAGCCGGGCATGGTGGCACATGCGTGTAATCCCAACTACTCGGGAGGCTGAGGCAAGAGGATCACTTGAACCCAAGAGGAGGAGGCTGCAGTGAGCTGAGATCATGCCACTGCACTCCAGTCTGGGTAACAGACCAAGACTCCGTCTCAAAAAAAAAAAAAAAAAAAAAAAAAAAAAGTAAAGACAGTAGTTACTTTTAAAGGAAGAGGTGTTAAGGGGTAACTTCAAGGATTGACTTCTTGACCTGGTTAGTAGTTAAAATCATGTTTACCTTATGATAATGCACTAAGTACACACTTATTTTGTGTGGTTTTCTGTATATGTGTTTTATTTCACAATAAAAATATTTATTTTATTTTAAGTTCCGGGATACAAATGAAAAATATTTAAAAAGTAATGTTTATACTCCTATTACCACTAACATTAGTATATTTTCATTGTATTTCTGCTCACCTACCTCTACTCACCCCCATAGTTACATCATCACTAGGGACATCCATCAGCAGCAGAAAATCTTTCTCAGCTTCTGCACAGAGCAATCAAAACCTCAGGGTTGGATTATAGATTATTACGCACGGAATTTTGACCATTTTTACTTATGGGATCTCAAATTTGTTATAAACCATTTCCATTGCAGAAAGATAGGGGCTTGATTTAATAAAGACTTTGAAATCAACGGCATAAGGTTTCAGACTAGTGGGAATTTAAAGAGGCATTGTTTTGTGAGCTTTCCTGACAGGTTTTGAATTCATAACAGTGGTACATGTGACATTTTCCCTGGGTTCTTTTGAGATCAGATTGTGGAAACATTTTCCCTTTTGCTTTTGCCTCTACCTGGAGTGAATCTGATTTTTCTGCTTTTGGTAAAAACGACAATAAAATCTGAAAAGCCTGTCTATCTTGAAGACAAGTCTAGACAAGTGATTAAGTTAAATGCCCCAAACACTTCACAATAGTAATATAAGGTGACATGCTAGAGAGGCATAAAGAATAATTCTATTATATTTACATGCAGATATTGCCCTTGGGGCTGGCCTAATTAGTCCCGTTAATCACCATGGCCCTTTCACTGCTAAGCTGGTGAAAAGCTAAACCTAATTAATACTCTCTATGGCCAAGCAGAGTTCCGGCTGTAGTGGTGCCTGGGCTCACAGCTGTCAGGGAAATATTGCAGTGCTATATTTCCTTTTCTTCCATAATATTTGCTCAACTTTCCCCTTCCCAGGTTATAAGCATATAAGCAAGTTGAGGACAAAGGCTGTGTATTATTTGTCTTCATAGTCTACTTATACTTAGCACACAGAACTGCATAAATTAGAGACAAGGTGTTGCTCATTCAATTCCTTTGTTACAGAAAAAAATATCTGCAGAGGAAGTATGCAATTAACCAAGAACTCTGCTTAATTTGTTTTCCTTTTTCTAAATTGAGATACAATTTACACACAGCGCAATGCACAGATTTTAGGACTATATTTCGATGAGTTTTGATAAATGCATACAGTTGCATAACCCAAACACTTATCAGGATATAAAACATTAGCATGACCACAGAATATTCTCTCATGCCCTTTTCAATCAATCAATCAGCATGGGCCCCCAGAAGCAACCTCTGTTGTGATTAATATTCTGATAGATTATGTAGGCCTATTCTGTAACTTCATGATACGAGTAGAATGATATAGTATGTTCTCTTTTGCATCTGGCCCTTGTCATACAACATAATGGTTTTGATATTCGTCTATGTTCTCTATATCAGTTATTCATTCCTCTTTATACCTGGTTAGTAATCTGTTGTGTGAATATAACACAATTTTTTAGCCATTTTCTTGTTTATGGGCCTTTGATTGTTTCCCAGTTTAAGGCTCTAATAAATAAAGCTGCCATGAACATTACTGAACAAATTATTTTGTGAACCTGTTTTCATTTGAGTAAAAACCTAGGAATTGGATTATTGGGTCATAGGGTACGTATACATTTTATAAGAAACTGCCAAACAGTTTTATAAAGTCATTATATCATTTCACAAACTCATAAAAACCATATGCAAGTTCAGTTGCACAATGCCCTCTTCAAATTTTAGTGAGTACGTGGTAGTATTTCAATGTAGATGTAATTTGTATTTTTTTCCTGATAACTGCAGATATTGACCAAGTTTTCAGGTGCATATTAGCCAGTCATATATGTTCTTCCTCTGAATTGTCTATTTAAATCTTTAACCATTTTAATTTAGTTGCTAGTCATTTAATTTTGAGTTATAAGAGTCCGCTATAGATCCTAGATGTTAGTTCTTTATCAGATATATGTTTGTTAAATATGCTTTCCCAGTCTGTGGCTTGCCTATTCATTTTCTTAACATTGTCTTTTGATAAGCAGAGCTTTTTGACCTTAAGTTCAATTTATCAATTATTTTTCTTTTATGCTTAGTGCTTTCTGTGTCCTGTGTGAGGAACCTTTGCCTCTCCAAATGTCACAAAGATATTTTTCTATTGTTTTATTCTAGAATCTCTACAGCTTTAACTTTCCTTTTTTTGCTGAGAATAGTCCATTTTTTATTTATTTTTTTTATTATACTTTAAGTTTTAGGGTACATGTGCACAACGTGCAGGTTAGTTACATATATATATACATGTGCCATGTTGGTGTGCTGCACCCATCAACTTGTCATTTAACATTAGGTATATCTCCTAATGCTATCCCTTCCCCCTGCCCCCACCCCACAACAGGCCCCGGTGTGTGATGTTCCCCTTCCTGTGTCCATGTGTTCTCATTGTTCAGTTCCCACCTATGAGTGAGAACATGCGGTGTTTGGTTTTTTGTCCTTGTGATAGTTTGCTGAGAATGATGTTTTCCAGCTTCATCCATGTCCCTACAAAGGACATGAACTCATCATTTTTTGTGGCTGCATAGTATTCCATGGTGTATATGTGCCACATTTTCTTAATCCAGTCTATCATTGTTGGACATTTGGCTTGGTTCCAAGTCTTTGCTATTGTGAATAGTGCCACAATAAATATACGTGTGCATGTGTCTTTATAGCAGCATGATTTATAATTCCTTGGGTATATACCCAGTAATGGGATTGCTGGGTCAAATGGTATTTCTAGTTCAAGATCCCTGAGGAATCGCCACACTGACTTCCACAATGGTTGAACTAGTTTACAGTCCCACCAACAGTGTAAAAGTGTTCCTATTTCTCCACATCCTCTCCAGCGCCTGTTGTTTCTTGACTTTTTAATGATCGCCATTCTAACTGGTATGAGATGGTATCTCATTGTGGTTTTGATTTGCGTTTCTCTGATGGCCAGTGATGATGAGCATTTTTTCACGTGTCTTTTGGCTGCATAACTACTTTAAAGTTCATATGGAACCAAAAAAGCCCGCATTGCCAACGCAATCCTAAGCCAAAAGAACAAAGCTGGAGGCATCATGCTACCTGACTTGAAACTATACTAAAAGGCTACAGTAACCAAAACAGCATGGTACTGGTACCAAAACAGAGATATAGACAAATGGAACAGAACAGAGCCCTCAGAAATAATACCACACATCTACAACCATCTGATCTTTGACAAGCCTGATAAAAACAAGCAATGGAGAAAGGATTCCCTACTTAATAAATGGTGTTGGGAAAACTGGCTAGCCATATGCAGAAAACTTAAACTGGGCCCCTTCCTTACACTTCATACAAAAATTAATTCAAGATGGATTAAAGACTTAAATGTTAGACCTAAAACCATAAAAACCCTAGAAGAAAACCTAGGCAATACCATTCAGGACATAGGCATGGGCAAGGACTTCATGTCTAAAACACCAAAAGCAATGGCAACAAAAGCCAAAATTGACAAATGGGATCTAATTAAAGAGCTTCTGCACAGCAAAAGAAACTACCAGCAGAGTGAACAGGCAACCTACAGAATGGGAGAAAATTTTTGCAATCTACTCATCTGACAAAGGGCTAATGTCCAGAATCTACAATGAACTCAAACAAATCTACAAGAAAAAAACAAACAGGCCTATCAAAAAGTGGGCGAAGGATATGAACAGACACTTCTCAAAAGAAGCTTTAACTCTTATGTTTGGGTCTATCTATGATCGATCTGAAATTAACTTTGCATGTGTAACACAATGTAGTACTCAAATTTCATTTCTTTCCACATGGATAAGCAGTTGTTCATCATCATTTGTTGAAATACCTAGCACTTTTGTCAAAAATAGTTGGCCATCATGCATGTAAGTCTGTTTGTGAACTCTATTCTGATCCATTGATTTGTCTATTTTTATGCCAATATCACACTCTTGATTTCTGTAGCTTTGTAGTAATTTTTAAAATTGAGAAGTGTAAATCCTCTAAATTTATTCTTCTTTGTAAAGATTATTTTAGCTAATCTAGGTCTTTTGCATTTGTATACATATTTTAGAAAAGGTTTCACAATTCTTACATAGAAATCTGCTAGGATTTTTATTGGGATTGAATTGAACTTTGTTTTAGTCTGTTTTATGTTGCTTATAATACCTGAAACAGAGTAATTTATAAAGAAAAGGAATGTATTTCTTACAGTTACAGAGGCTGATAAATCCAAGGTAAAGGGGTCACATCTGGTGAAGGCCTTCTTGCTAATGGAAACTCTCTGCAGAGTCTGCAGGTGGCACAGGCCATCAGGCATCATATAGCAAGGGGACTATGCGTGCTAGCTCAGGTCTGTCTTCCTCTTCTTATAAAGCAACAAGTCCCACTTCCATGATAACCCATTAATCCATTAACTCATTAATCCTCGAATGGATTGATCTGTTCATAAGAGCAGACCCCTCACGACCCAATCACCTATTATAGGCCCCACCACTCAATACTGCCACGTTTGGGATTAAGTTTCAACATGAATTGTGGAGCAAACAAACATGCAAACCATAGCAAATATATAGATAAATTTAGAGAATTAAAATCTTAGCAATATTGAGCCTTCCAATCCATGAATTATACATTGCTATCATTTATGCCTTAAATAGTCAATTCTCTCTTAAATTAAGAAATTATTTTTAAAAAGTATTTTACATCTACTAACATATTTATCATTTCTGGCTGTCTTCATTACTTTAGGTAGATTTGACTTTTCATCTGTAGCTAGTTCCCTTCAGCTTTGAAAAATTTTTAAATGCAGCTCTGCTATGATGAATTCTCTTAGCTTTCAATCTGAAAAGTCCTTATTTTTCTTTCTTTTCTGGGGAAAAGTGTCTCTGAATATTGATTTGTTGAAAGTTTTGCTTTTCGACACTTCATATGTCATTTTATTTTCTGTGGCTTGCATTGTTTCTGATAAGGTATCAGTCATTACTTTTATTGCCATTCCCATGTGTGTAATGTGTCTTTTTTCTCTGGATGACTTTTTAATTTGTTCTTTATCTTTGGTTCTCAGAAATTTGATTACAATTTTCCTGGATGTGGTTTTCTTTGGGTTCATCTTCTTGAGGCATTGGAGTTCCTAAGATCTGTGAGTTAATCTTTTTCAACAAGTTTAATATTGAGGAACAATTATTTCTTCAAATATTTGTTCTTCCCCAAGGATTTTTTTTTTTTTTTGGCTAAGACCTCAAAATCACAGGCAACAAAGGCAAACACAGACAAATGGAATTACATCAAACTAAAACACTTCTGTACAGCAAAGAAAACAATCAACAGAACAAAAAGACAACCTACAGAATGGGAGAAAATATTTGCAAACTATACATCTGACAAGGGATTAGTATCCAAAATATATAAGGAACTCAAACAGCATAATAGCAAAAAGACAAATATCCTGATTTTTAAACAGGCAAAATACCTGAACAGATATTTCTCAGAAAAAAAAAAGACATACAGATGGCCACAAAGGAATATGGAAAAAATGCTCAACATCACTAATCATTAGGAAAATGCAAATCAAAACCACAATGAGATACCACCTCATCCCAGTTAGAATGACCATTATCAAAAAGAGACAAAAGAAAACAAATGCTGGAAAGGATGTGGAGAAAAGTGAATCCTTGCATACTGTGGGTAGGAATGTAGTACAGCCATTGTGGAAAACAGTATAGGGGTTCCTCGAAAAATTGAAAATAGAAATACCTTATGATTGAGCAATCCCATCACTGGTTATATATCCAACAAAATTGAAATATGTTGAAAAAATATCTGCACTCCCATGTTTATCACGGCACTATTCATAATAGCTAAGATATGGGATCAACCCAAGTGTTCATCAATGGATGAATGGACAAAGAAAATGTGGCACATATACACAGTAGAATACTAGCAGCCATAAAAAAAGACTTAAATCCTGCCATTTGCAACAACATGGATGAACCCAGAGGACATTATGTCATGAAACAAGCCAGGCGCAGAAAGACAAATATCACATGATCTCATTCATATGTGGAAACTTTAAAAGTTGATCACATATAGGCAGAAAGTAGAATGATGGTTATCAGAGGCTGGGTTTGTTAGAAGGAAGAGGCAGATGAGGTGACATTGACCAACGAATACATAATTACAGTTAAACAGAAGGAATAAGTTTCAAGAGATCTATTGTACATCAAGGTGACTATAGTTAATGATGATATATTGTATTCTTGAAAAATGTAGACAGTGAATGCTATTTGCTTTTACCACAAAAATGCTATGTGAGGTAATGCATTTGTTAACTAGGTGGATTTAACTATCCCACAATATATATGTACTTCAAAACATCATGTTGTACATGACAAAAAACATATATTATCTGCCAACATAAAAAATTTGAAAATAGAAATATTTGTTCTTCCCCAATTATGCTATTTTCTTTTAATTAAAATACATATTGTTATACCTGTTGGTATTGTTGCACAGGTCAACCCCTATGCAGCAGGTATTTTATTTTTTGGTTTTGTTTTTCTCTTGATGCTTCAGTTTTGATAGTTTCTATTAATCTATTTTAAAATGCAACGGTTTTTTCTTCTGCTGTTAAGCCCATCGAGAAATTTTTTCATTTAAGCTGTTATACATTCTAATTCTAGAATTCCTATTTACTTTTTTCTTATAGTTTGATCTTTTTCTGCTGAGATTCCCCACGTTCTCTCGCTGTGCCCATTTTTTCTTAATATTTATATTTGTAATAGCTATTTCATAAACCTTGCCTGCTAATTCCAGAATCTGTGTGATCTCTGGCTTTTTCTCCTGATTATGTTTTATGTTTTTCTGCTTATTCACACATACTGTAACTTTTTAAATATGTACTGAGCATCATGAATGCTGTGTTTTTGAAAGTATGAATCCAGTTGTCTTCCCATAAAGTGTGTTGGATTTTATCTGGGCCAGCAAGTACTTTCTTGTGGATCAGCTTTAACCTACTGAGGCTAGATTGTAGACTTGTTTATAGTGAACTTATAGTAGTCCTTCCTCTAGGATTAAAGCAGCCCTAACCCAAGGTATGATCTTTCCAGGATCTCAACTGAATGACCAAGATATTGAGTGATATCTCTTCATTTTGGCTGGCTGGACCTCCTATGTCTCTTCTATCTCCCACATCCCCAGCAGCCATTCTCTGCCAGACCTCCCAGTCTTGACCTGTGCAGCTTAGTATTTGACCAAACACTCAAGGGGTCAACTTATTCAGATTTCTGAAGCTCCTGTTCTGCTCAGGTCCCTCTCTCCAGTAAATTCCAGGCATTTTACCAATCCAGAAATTTGATCTCTGTTTCCTGAGCCCAGAAAGACTGTTATTCTCTAGGTTACTTTCTTGGGCTATGGTTTGGAAAGTTCACCCAGGCAGAAAGTAAAGCAAATATGAATCCTACCTCATGTAATTTTTTTCCTCAAAGATCAAAACCCTGCCTTGTCTATTGCCTTAGACCACTTGCATCATATATTTTACTCAGTCAATAGTTGTTTATGATGAGAAGGTAAGTCTGATAGCTATAATTCTGCCATAACCAGAACAAAGGTCTTTAATATTAATGTTTTAAAATTGTCAACGATTTCCTTCAGGATGTATCTAAAGGCCTTTGCTAATTAACTCTGGTGTCTTTACTGTGGTTATCCTCTCCTGTGTATTTTGGGTCATAGATACTTTTGAGAATCTAAGAAGATTAGGAAGCTTTCTTCAGAAAAATGTGTATGGTCCCATTTATCAGGGAATCCCAGGGATTTCATCAATCCCCTGAAGCTTAGCTATGAAGCATTGCTGTCAACAGACTGAGGATTAAGAAACCCTGCTCAATATCTTTTCTATAGCTATAAACATGTGGTTGGTTTGGGTTTGTTTCAAAAATTGAAAGCAAGCTAATAAGAGCCAACATAGAAAGTTTGGCTCATGCCTGTAATCCCAGCACTTCGGGAGGCTGAGGTGGGCAGCTCACGAGGTCAAGAGATCGAGACCATCTGGCTAACATGGTGAAACCCCGTCTCTACTAAAAATACAAAAATTAGCTGGGCATGGTGGGGTGCACCTGTAGTCCCAGCTACTCAGGAGGCTGAGGCAGGAGAATCGCTTGAACCCGGGAGGTGGTGATTGCGGTGAGCTGAGATCGTGCCACTGCACTCCAGCCTGGCGACAGAGCAAGACTCCGTCTCAAAAAAAAAAGAAAAGAAAGAAAAAAAAAGAAAATTTGGATAAATTTTCTAGAAGGTAAATGAGTTTGAACACCTGAGAGGAATACATTTTTATGCATACCTCAACAGGTTTATACTTCACTTTAGGAAAAGATTTCAAATTTTTCAAAGCCTTTTCCTAATTGAACCTAAACTTTATGTCCACCATACTGCGTCTTCATTTCCACTTATCTTGAGTGTGTGAAAATTGACCCAATTGGTTGCTGTATAGCAATCTACTGCTTTTATGGTAAAAAAAAAAAAAAAATGTTGTTGGTCAACCTACAGAATGGGAGAAAATTTTTGCAATCTACCCATCTGACAAAGGTCTAATATCCAGAATCTACAAGGAACTTAAATTTACAAGAAAAAAACAACCCCATCAAAAAGTGGGCAAAGGATATGAACAGACACGTCTCAGAAAAAGACATTTACATGGCCAACAAATATATGAAAAAAAGCTCAACATCACTGATCATTAGAGAAATGCAAATCAAAACCACAATGAGATACCATCTCACGCCAGTCAGAATGACAATTATTAAAGAGTGAAGAAACGAGATGCTGGTGAGGCTGTGGAGAAATAGGAAGGATTTTACACTGTTGGTGGGAATGCAAATTAGTTCAACTACTGTGGAAGACAGTATGGCGATTCCTCAAGGATCTGGAGCCTGGAATGCCTTTTGACCCAGCAATCCCATTACTGGGCATATACCCAAAGAAATATAAATCATTCTACTATAAAGACACATGCACACGTATGTTTATCCCAGCACTATTTACAATAGCAAAGACATGAAACCAACCGAAATGTCTATCAATGATAGACTGGATAAAGAAAATGTGGCACATATACACCATGGAATACTATGCAGCTATAAAAAGGAATGAGATCATGTCCTCTGCAGGGACATGGATGAAGCTGGAAGCCATCATCCTCAGCAAACTAATACAGAAACAGAAAACCAAACACTGCATGTTCTCACTCATAAGTGGGAGTTGAACAATGAGAACACATGGACACAGGGAGGGGAACAACACACCTGGGGCCTGTTGGGGGTTTGGGAGTGATGAGGGGAGGGAACTTAGAGGACTGGTCAATAGGTGCAGCAAACCACCATGTCACATGTATACCTATGTAACAAGCCTGCACGTTCTGCACGTGTATCCTGGAACTTAAAGTAAAATAAAATAGTTGGTCATTATATAGTTAATCTATTCAATCGTGTGCTGTGAGTTCTTCTGTGAATACTAAAGGAAACATAACAGTAAAATACAGTTTAAAACTGTACAGCTGGCTACCATCTTGTCTTCATATCAGTTCCCCCAGAAGCTGACTGAAATAATGACTTATGTACAAGTTGTGTATTTGGGAAGTGGTCTCAGGAAATATTTGAAGGGGAGAGAGAAGTTATACATGACAGAGAAGAAAACCAAGAAAGTGTGTATAATGAACTGGAACTTAATCCCACTGAGGAGCTCTGAAGGCCGGCGTAGAACACACACCTCAAAATAGCACATCTGAAAAATGAGAGAGCTGGGTTATTATCTGTCCACCGATTTCCATTAGACATTGGTTGAGAGCTGCTCCCAGGCAATCTTAATTCTTTGGCATGTCTTGCCTACTGTATGTAGGTGGACAGAGGGGCCTCAGTGGCCAGAGAGATCCCTAAAAATCACAGGTGCTGGCAGTTGAAAGTCAAACTGTCACACACATATATCAGTGTTGAGGGGATGTGGGCAGGGCACTAACAGCAGCTGCTACGATCCTTCAAACCAAAACAATAATTAGCACTGGTAACACTTAAATAGTAATGTTTTCCTTCATGTTATAGTTTCATTTTTTCCTGCAAGATGATGGATGCCTCTCCTGGAGTCCCAAAGACTTGGGAACTGTCAAACAACATATGCTTCCTAATGTATCGTGTTCAGAAAATAATGTTCACAATTTGCTGATTTGCTTTGGTTTGTATATGACTTCTCTCTGGCTATGGAAGCTAAAGCATCATCAGAACATGTTTTAATAATAAACAAATAGAGTCCTACCAAACAATTTTTTCTCATAGAAATGTATTTTCTCTTGTGTGATGTCACCATAGGATTCCACATGATAAGGAAAATAAACAGTCTTGGTGGAGGTGGCTTTAGCTCATCCTTTAAATTACAATCTAGAATAGCTTCAGGGAAAAAGTATTTTCCTGGTATGCTTTGGTTCCTTTGAAAAAGCTGCCTACAAAAAGCTAACATTCTTTTAACGCCGGGCTCAATTCTAAGTCTATGCATGTATTAATTCATTTAGGTTTCATACAGACCCCAGTAGGTATGTACTATCATCAGCCATATGTTATAATTAAAGACAAGGAGGAAGACTTTCTGAAATCATCATACTTACCTAAAGCCACGGAAGCGATAAGTAGACAATCCTGGAATTGAACCCCTTCTGACCACTGCAGCACACTGTTTCCCATCTACATCTGAACTGGCATTAGATAACTTTATCATCTAGCAATGCAGGTTCAGAGATAACTATCTCTTTCTTCGTTTCAAATTTTTGCTAGACTTGGATTCCAACTGGATTTTTCATGAACTCTTCCTGAGAAACAGGTGACTTCAGAATCTTGATGTACCTCATGGCAGAGATTGTTCCCACAGGTATTTAGCAGACCAAATCAATGTGCTCTAGATAGGGGTCAACCAACTTGTTTTTTGTAAAGGACCAGGTAATACATATTTGCAGGTTTACCAGCCATATATACCCTGAAAACAACTATAGAAAATATACAAACAACTGGGCATGGCTTTGTGCCAATAAAACTTTATTTATGAACATGGACATCAGGCTGGTTTAGTTTACTAATCCCTGCTTTAGAACTGTAGAGCGCAGTTACATCCCTCATCATTAACTGCCTATGAGTTCCACTTTCAGAAAGTCTTGAAGATTTAGTCATTATTACACAATATGTAGTAAAAACTCATATGAAGTTAAAGCCAGAAGAAATTTTGAGGTGCCCTAGTTCAATGAGGAAGTTAATCTAGAAGATATTCCCACTTGATTTTATTTAGATGTAAAGGCAAGTCCAGAGATAACTATCTTTTAGTGACTCTGAGCCTTGTTTATAAATGTTAGCTAGTGGAAGAAAGATCTTAAGAACTGGATGGAAAATATTCAGGGAAAAATTAGTGTTTTATCTGTTGAAATTAGGCATATCCTCACGAAGTTCATTAAGGGTCTTCAAATTAATTAAATGGGGACACCAGTGTTAAAGCATTAGAATCAAGTAAGAATGCCAATAAAACAACTTTTATTTTTTCATGCAGGATTAAAAAACAGAATTCTATTTATAAAAATTTAATTTTATTTTTATCTATCTCTTACAATAAAATCAGGTGAATATATAGTCACTCTTTGACGTGGCATAAGTATGCCTAACTTGGAAGGCATTTTATACTTCGGAAAACAGCTTAGATGTGGAGAAATTTAGGCTCAATGACAATTACAGCATCCTAAACAAAAAGAGACCCTAGATATTAGCTATCGCAGTTCTTTGTTTTACTTACAGGGAACTGAGGCTCAAAGGATTCAGTGATATGTCAAAGGTCATCCAATTAGAAATAAAGCTGGGATGAAACCCACATGCACTGATGAGAATCATGTTCCAATTTTAGGGCTAGAAGGACTCAACAATCCCAGCTCTGCTACTTAGAACTTTTTAACTTTATGTATGCTGTTTAAACTTTCTGAGTCTGCATTGTATTATCTGTAAACTGGGGATAACTACTGACCAATCAAGATTTTGCAATGAGTAAAAGAAATATATAACATCTCAGACACTTAGTAGTTGCTCAATAATAATAGCTACTATACTCCATTTGATGATTATTAGTTGATCACTTACTATTTGTTAAGCACTACATCAGGGAATGGGGATACAAAGACAAATAAGACAAAATCCTAACCCTAGAAATGCTCATAAAAAACACATAAACAAATAATTTGTAATATAATCTGTTTTCATTGATCTAATTGAGATATGCATAAAGTGTTATGAGAATATAGAGGATGGGATACTTAGAAATTTGCTGTCTAATCTAGTATCTACTAGCTATATGCAGCTATTAAACACTTGAAATATGGATAATCCAAATTGAGATGTGCTAGAAATGTAAAATACACACATTCAAAAATGTAAGGTTATCTCATAAATAACTTTTTCTATTGAGTACATGTTGAAATGAAATATCTATGTAAAGAAGGCAAAAATCTTGTTTTTCAAGCATTCCAAGACTGGTAAAGAAGACAGATACCAAATGCTATAACGCAATATAGGAAGTACAATATTAGAGGTATGCACATGGGGAAAAGCTAGGGGTATATTTCATATGTTATATGACATTTGAGCTAGATCAGTTCCCCTTGCTGGTAAAGGAAGGAGGAAAAGCATTCCAGATATCCAAATAGGAAAGGCAGGAATAAAGACAGGGCAGTGTTCTGGAAAGAACGTGCAGCTGTTTCTTTTGCCAGTTTTCCAGGATGCCCTTGAACTCAATGTGAGGAAGAATGTAGTACTGTTTGCAACTCCCTTCCGTCATTTAGTTATTCAAGCAAAATTTTTCTGCAGCTAATAATCTCATAGTAGCTAATATTTACTCGGTGCTTATAATGTGTCAGACACTAAATGCTTCTAATGAATTATCTCATTTAATCCTCAAGGCAACCCAATGAGATAGGAACATTTATTCTCTCATTTACACAGGAGGAAACTGACTACTACAAAAGATTAAGTTACTTCCCCCAAGATCATACAACTAGAAAAGGGCAGAGCTATCTTGGATAGGTCTGTCTGATATAGAATTCTGTGTCCTCAACTTAATGAGAATGCTGTCTCCCTGCCTCGTCTGTACCCTTTCAGGAGACCTTCACAGTGCTGCCAGAGGGAGCAGCTCCAATTGTGACCACCTGGGATGTTATCGCCAGGTCTCATCCTAAAAGCAGCTCTATGTCAAGCACATTTTGAAAGAGCAGAAGACTCAGCAGGGAACCTTCTGTGGAGATATCTAGAGTTGCCAGAAATGGTCCTGGAGGGCAGAACTCAGGAGAACAGTCAGCAGAAGCAACAACTGGGAGCAGCCATTTGAAATGCTATCACCACCAGGAAGAAGAGATGTTCCTGGAAACTGCTGAGACCTGAGATGTAGGGCGCCACCTCACCAGAGAAGGCTGCTGAGGCTGCTGCAAATAGAGGGCTGGTCTGGGAAGACATTGTAATCAAAGGTTTCCTCACCTCTCTGCCATCCTGAGAGGAAACTCTCTTGACACCAAGGCAAAGGACTGACTCCACTGGATCTTTCAGTGGCCCGCTTCCTAAAGATAGGGAATGAAATTTCCTAACATTTCCTAAAATCTGGTGGGGTTGGTCCCCAGAACTTCTGAGTAACGAGTTCTTAGGCTAAAAATATGGCAAAAGAGAAAAGAAGAGTGTTGTCTCGGAGAGAAAGAGAGAGCTGAACTATGACCCAGCTAGTAAGTTTCTGGTGGAGGTTAAGCCTTTGGAAGAAAAAAAATACAGTTACATATGTTAGGCATGTATAACAATAATCTATTCTATAGGATTAACCCAAATAAATAAACTTCCATTCTATGTCAGTTTTTACTTTTAAATATAGATAGCTTCTGGAATTTAGGATTTCCATACTACCAAATGGAGATAAAAAAAAATTACAGCATATTAAGCATTAGCTTCTTGGGCAAAGGTTCTGCACATTTGACTACACTCAGGCCTAGGATGTTCAGAGTAGTGGCTGAGAGCCAGAGTCTCAGAGGAGAAGGCCTATCCCAAATCCCAGCTTTCTCCGTCTAATAGCTATGCAACTATTAATGATTACTCCTCACCTCTTTGAGAGCAGAGATTTTTGTCTGTTAATGTTCTCTACTGAATCTCCAACACCTAAAATATGCCTAGCACACAGTCGGTACTCAATAAAAACCTGCTGAATTGAATTGAATAGCATAATCAGAATCATTCTTGCCAAATATTTATTAGATGCCCTGTATAATGTGGCAAACTTGATGTTAGACAATTCACAATTTATGTGAAAGAATTTCACAGACTTTTATTCAGAATATACAAAGAACTCTTATAACTCAATAATAAGACAAATAACACAATTGAAATATGGGCAAAAGATGTCAATACACATTTTACCAAAGAATATATGCAAATGAATACTAAGCACATGAAAAGATGTTCAACATCATTAGTCATTAGGGAAGTGCCAATTCAAACCACAATGAGGTACCACTTTACACCCACTACAATGGCTGTAATCAAAAGACAGATGATTACAAGTGTGAAGAAACAAGAACGCTGTACATGGTCAACAGGAATGTAAAATGATACTGCCATTTTGGAAAATAGCTTGGCAGTATCTTAAAAAGGTAAATGTAAATTCTACTCCTAAGTATCTACCCAAGAGAAGTGAATACATATATACACCTAAAAACTTGTATACTGCAATGGGTGTCATATGAGCCCCAGTTATAGCTGAATTAATTGATGCTTGGCTAAGTTCAGTAATTTTTCCAAGGTCATGGAGTTAGTCAAGGGCAGAGTTAATATTTTAAACCAATACTGTCTGGTTCCAAAGACTGTGTTCTTTCTCTCAATGTGCCACACTGTTCCTCAGGTCTGTGTAGATTTTTAAAAGCATTTTTTAATTGAAAATAAAATATGTTCAAAGCTGATGGTGATCTCTTGATAAAATGCTTTATAAGATTGGTCTTTTATTCTATAATGTCCTATAATAAGACAGTTTTGATAGTCTTTCTGTATTTCCATTTCCTCATTTGCAAAATGGAAACATTAATAGCAACTAATTCATAAAATTATCTTTAAAATTAATTAATGAGATAACAGATTAAGTGTGTAGCACACTATCCCACCCACAGAAGTGCTCAATACTTGTTATCTAGTATTCTAAGTGTTGTTATTAAAATAGTTTTTTAATTACCTCTCCATGGAGGTTGAGGAAAGAAAAACAGGTGTCAGTTAATATATGAGAAATCTTCTCAAGAATATGTTGCATATTTAGCTTTCGGAATTATGGGAAAGTCATAATAGATGCTTTGAGTATCTCATATTGGTTACAGGCAAACTACAAAAATGCTGAATATGCTTGGGCTGGGAATGTACTCTTTTGAATAATTAATTTGAGATTATGTTGTATTAGTCAGCATGATGTGGCCACAAAAATGATTTACTTCGCAGCATTGCTAAAATTTGTCTTCTCAAACAAGATAAAGCAGTTAAGCAACAGTAATTACAGCCCTGGGTCGCTCAAGTGGATTTTACAGAAAATGAACCAATGAGAGATAAGCTCTCAATTCACATTTAATAGTCATGGCAGAGATCCTCCCCTGCTCTGGAGGATGGGACAAGGGGTCTGTGTTAGAAGAGGGGATAACATTCTATGACAGCTCAGTCCCTGGAAGCTGGAGCTGTTCTGAGTGTAACTCATGGGATGTGATGTGTTTGTGTAAACTATGCTTTGCACACCTGAGGCTGGGTCATCCAGATGCCAGGACAATGGTTATCGCCATCATGCCCATTGCCAGCCACATCCCTCCAGAAGGGAGGAGAAATAGCAGACCAGAATAGTGCCATGCCTTGGAACCAACATTAGGAGAAGGGGAGTGTATTAGTTCACTACGGCTACCATAACAAAATACCACAGACTGGATGGCTTAAACATCAGATATTTCTCACAATTCTGGAGGCTAGATGTCCTAGATTAAGGCGCCAACATAGTTGGTTTCCTCTGAGGCCTCTCTCCTTGGCTTGCAGATAGCCAGTCTCTTGCCACCTCTTTACATGGTCATTTCTCTGTACACGTGCATCCCTGACATATCCCTGTGTGTTCTAATCTCTCTTTTTAAGGACACTAGTCTGGATGGATTAGGGCACATCCCAATGGCCTCATTTTCACTTAATCACTGCTTTAAAGGCCCTATCTCCAAATACACTTATATTCTGAGGTACTGGGGATTAGGGCTTCAACATATGTATTTTAGGGATCACAACTCAGCCCATAACAAAATAAGGGAAAGGATGGGGCCACTTCTCATTTTTCCTTTATAGAACCAACAAGCATGTACCTTTTCTCCCTTTATTAGTCGTGGCTGCTAAATGTCTCATTTGACCTGTCTGAGCTTCAAACTGAGGGTATTTAAGTGGGTCACTCCTATTCTGCTAGCTAGCTCAGAGCTCATTGGTCCGGAACAAAAGCTGAAACTAAAGACAGTGTTTAAGGGGCTTCTACCACAGCTGTTTTCAAGGTTGGGGTTGGCAGTCATAACAGAATTACCTGGGGAGCTTCATCAAACTCCTTCCCCAGGCCTGCCTTTCTCATTGTTTGTATGGTATTTTGCTACATCTCCCAGCTGAGAAGGACTACTTCTCGTGACATACATCCTTCCTGATCCTCAGAGACTTTTGCTCCTTTTAAGAAATCAGCACTGTGAGCCTATACTCCTGATCTTTTTCACCATGGCAGGTAGGTGAACAATAGGACAGAAGTCCTCAACATTGGCCAAAGGGTGCCAGACTGCTAGGGTTTGGTGGCATGAAACTCACAAGCTTTTCTCATTCTCCTTCTCTGCGGGAGCTTGACACCTGGTGAGAAATTTGAGAAGCCATTGAGAAGTCCCATATCTTTAACATAAGCTTGGCTGTAATAAAACAATTCCATAAAGGCCAGGTAAATGGCCCCTTAGTGCTAGGAGCACACTTTCTCATCATTACCCTGCCACACAAGAAAATAAAGAACCCACCGCTTGATGTGATACATCATGTTAATCATATTAATGATTTATTCAACCACAGGTCCTTATGTGTATTTTTAACCTATTCCTCAAATAATAATGACTTCTGTAATGATTCCTTTTCTAAGAAGTTTAAATGAAATCTGTCAGACAGCTTGGAAGTACTTGAGAATAAGGAAAAAGGTAATTTTGAGCCTGAAAAAAGAGATTTTACTAATTGATAACAAAAAAAAGTGTTTATTGTTGCTCACTTTGTGCAAATACTTCGGATTCAATGACAAGCATTCTAAGTCTGCTAGAAAAAGATAAACAAATAAACACTTGCTATAATGCAATGTAGGAAAGGCAACGTTAGGAGTATACACATGGGGAAAAGGAAAAGGACATATTTCACATTTGATGTGACATTTGAACTGAATCTGAAAGCTGAGTGAGCAACGCAGAGCATTTCAGATATCCAAATGGGAAAGGCGGAATAAAAATATGACAATGGTCTGGCAACAGCGAGCAGCCAGGGTGGCTAGAGTCAGAGGGCTATAAAGTGTCAGCAGGTGAGAATGAATACAAAGGCAAACTGAGGCCCAATCTTGAGGAGCCTCAAATTCCATGCTAAGGCCTACAATAGCTATGAGGGTGTGTGGGGGTGCATTGAGGAGCTTTAGGCAGGATCCCATGTGTTAGGTAATGCTGACAGCACTACTGAAGATGGTTTAGAGACTCTGGAAGTCTATTTAGGAAGCCACTGCAGGGGTCTCAGCAAGTGCTGGTCAGAATCTAGAGCATTCCAGCAACAGTAGAAACAAACAAGAGCCAGAAGAGAGGGTTCATGGGGCTCACCACTAAGTACTCAGGTGACAGAGCATGTCAGTACATGAATCTCTGGGTTCCTCACTGCAAACACCTGTCACTGGCTACAGAATTGCATTTGGATTGAACAAAGTTCTCTGTAAGTAAAAGAGCTGTAAATGAGTTAGGACAGGAACCACTAAGCCTTTTTTTTTTAATTTTTTTATTATTATACTTTAAGTTTTAGGGTACATGTGCACAATGTGCAGGTTAGTTACATATGTATACATGTGCCATGCTGGTGCGCTGCACCCACTAACTCGTCATCTAGCATTAGGTATATCTCCCAATGCTATCCCTCCCCCCTCCCCCACCCGACAACAGTCCCCAGAGTGTGATGTTCCCCTTCCTGTGTCCATGATGAACTTGGAAATCATCATTCTCAGTAAACTATCGCAAGAACAAAAAACCAAACACTGCATATTCTCACTCATAGGTGGGAATTGAACAATGAGAACACTAAGCTTTGTCTGAAAAGGGGCAGAGAGAATGTCTTCATTTTTGCAGGCCATTCGATCTGTTACAACTACTCAACTCTGCCACTGTAGCATAAAAATGGCTCATAGACAATATGTAAGCAAATGAGAATGCCTTGCCTGCATTCCAATAAAACTTTATTTAAAACAACAAGTAGGGCTGAGTTTGCCAACCCCTAGGCCGAAATATTAAATGTGTATAATATTTTCTGTTTTCCTCCTTAATTAAATCCGGTTTGTCAATTGGAAATTGGGTACATGTTGAGATTGAACCCAGAAAAAAATTACGATTTCTGTTTGGCATGTAGTTGGTGGCTGTAGTCGATATTAAATAGAACAGGTGGTGGTCAAAGTGTTAATTCTCCTGCAAAGTCATGTAAGAACTTCAGGAAGGCTGTCATGAAATATATTTTCTGTGAATCAATAATCAACATTATTTTTGAAGGAAACAAGTTTAACAGGAATATGCATTCTGTTCTCAGGGTTGCCTAAGAAAAACAATTGATAGAGGAAAAAAATACGTATAAATCTTTAGACCTGAAATTGCCCCCAGCAGGAATGTAGGAAAGCATGGTATTCTGGGCCAAAGGCCCCAAGACAACTGTGCTTAAATGATGCACTTGAGGCTCCCTTTAAAAAGCTGAGCGCCATCATTGGTCATTCTCTAGTCAAATGGACAAGGTGCCCCAAGGAATCTTCCTAACACTTTTTCACTTATATTTTAAAGATAAAAGGCAGCAGTTCTTTCTAACACATTTGATCAAAGATGCTGGACAAACACAGAGAACAGAGGACAATAATAAGGCTGCATTTATCTACTTCTATGCCTGATACTGCCCCAGCCAATATTGATGGCTAAAGATTTCTAGGTGACTGGCTTAACTCCACAAGTTCACTACTCCAGCGAAGCTTCCACTTGCCCAAATAATAACAATAACCAAAAAAAGCTAATATGTATTGAGAGTTTACTACCCATCGACATTGTCCTAGGTGCCTTATGCATATGAACTTAACATCATCATAATCCTAAGAAGCCCAGTATTAACATCAGCATGCCATTTTGCTCATAAGAAAAATGAGGACAGACAGGTGAAGTAACTTCAGATAACAGAGCTAGTAAGTGACAAAGTTGGGAGCTGGACCCAGCCAGTACAGCTCTAGTGTCCACTTGTGTTTACACTGCCTTGCCAAAGCACCTTGTTACCTTGCAGAACATCACCCCAGCTACAAACTGGAGGTACTTACCTCCTCCTACTTCTGCCCTTCTTAGTAGCAAACAAATGACTCTCTAGGCAGCTTCTTGTAGGTTTTTAAAACATAATTGGATTTGGATGTTAATCAAATTAATTAAAACCAGGAAGTTGGCCACATTTTTCTCTTTGTGATGCTTGTGTAGTTATCCTCTCCCTCTGGACTTAAAGCCCTTTTGAGAAGGTGGATCATTCGGCAAAGGGAGCAATCATGTACTGAGAGCCTACTTTGACTGCCTTGACTTCCTGGACTTACACAAGTCCGGCTGCCAGGCACTGAGTTCGGCAGTTTGTAGAGAGGGATAATGAAAAAGATAAATAAGCACAGTCTCTGCAAAGAGCTGACATTCTAATCATAGTATTTTTCAATGCTGCCTGCACATTAAAATCACTTGGATTCAGATTAAATACCAGTGCCCTTGCCCCACTCTAGATCATCTGAATCAGAATCTCTAGGGTGAGGACAAGACAGAGGTTTTCTTTCTGGAACTCTCCAAGTGATTTGAATGAACAGACAGAGAAACACACATGTAAATGAGTAATAATAAAACCTTATGGTTAGGGTAAGAGCAGAGTCCTATAAATAGCATGAAGACAGAGCCACTGTTTCTGACCCGGAACCCTGCAGAGGCCTTCACAGAGGAGGAGACACTGACTGACCTGGTCTAATTGGGTGAACAAAGGTTCACTGGGTAGAAAGGAAGGGGAGATTGGATATCCAGGAAGATTGAAAAGCAAGTCCAAAGACACAGAATTAGGGAGAAAAAAAAGATACATTTTGAAAAGAAATATGGTACCCCATGGCGAAACAGCAGGTGAGTGTTTCCAAGGCAGGAGCCAGATCATTAATGGCCTTGGGTGCCATGCTGGGTGCCGCACTGTAATCCTACAAGCCAGGGTCCTGGCTATTGTAGCCTAGGTATGAACCAATACCCTTCTTCCAATACCCTTTTAGGTCATCTAAAAGAGAGCTCAATGTTTTTCCATAGGAATTTTACTATAAAACTGAAGGACGAAAAATAGAATTAAAACCAGAGAAAATCAAAGGTATAGACACTAATTTTTGCTATATAATGAATGTATGGAACACATATTTATCATCCCTAAAGAACTTGCGGGGGCAGGAGTCCTTATCAAGCAAGGACCATCATCCCATCTTTCTCATGGAGTGTCTTTTAGCTCATGTTAACCTCTAGAAGAAAGCAGAAGAAATTTCTTCATTTGATTTAAATTATCCTGCCTTCTCCCCCTTCTCCTTCTTCTCCTCCTTCTTCTTTTGAGACAAGGTCTCACTCTCTTACCCAGTGCAGTGGTGCCATCATAGCTCACTGCAGCCTCTACCTCCCGGGCTCAGGTGATCCTCCCACCTCAGCCTCCTGAGTAGCTTGGACTACAGGCACACACCACCATGCTCAGCTAATTTTCTGTATGTTTAGTAGAGGCGGGATTCTGCCATGTTGTCTAGGTTGGTCTTGAACTTCTGAGCTCAAGTGATCCTCTGGCCTTGGCCTCCCAAAATGCTGGGATTACAGGCATGAGCAGCCACGCCCAACCTAATTTATCCTGCCTTCTAATGATAATGCCAGGAGTCTCCTGTTTGTGGAATATGGACTGCTTCTAAATCTCATTTAATTTCTCAAGGAGGGATGACGGTCAAAGCCTTTCATCTGGGTTGTAGGGGGGATCCTATTGTTTTCAGTGCTCCAAGTACTTTTAGTAAATCTCTCCATGGGAAATGGGGGCCTTGCCAAATTCTAACTCTTAGAGTTTAACAATATGATTATTTTGCACCATCAGTAGCAACAGGAAACTATATTAAGGATGGTCATTCACTAGTTGCATGACTTACTGAAAGTCATTTCACCTCTTTGAGTCACATTTCTCAATTGCATAACGAGAGTTTATGTTCAGCTCCTACCGGCTCTGAGATTTGGTGACCTCTATGGATTCTACATTTTTTCCAGCCTAAAGTTTGGTGATCAAAATCACTTCTGATATTAACTCACTATGATTTCTGACAGCCCATAAAAACTATTTCATACCTTGACACCCCACCCCCTAAGAAAAATCAACTTAAAATGTTTATCTTTGACAAAAACACAGGCTTAGAACTTCAAAATGCTGTCAGGTTGCATGCAGTTTGATGGAGCTGCTTAAGAAATCTGTCAACAACATCCTGGGTTAAATTGTTGAGCAAGTGAACTGATCCTGGCCTAATGTAGTTGAATATTTTCTGACAGCCTGCTATAGCTTCTTTGGCTCTTTGTGTTCTGTCAACTACTGGACAAAAAGAGGGGTGAGTCTTCGTCCATTAAAGATGTCAAATGTGGTTCAGTCACTTGCATTTCAAGGGCATTCTATGCTATGCAAGGCTACTCTAGGTCTCTGCTGGAAGGCTCACAATGGTTCTTCTACACCTTGTTCAAAAGAAAACTATTCTAATGTTTCTTCTGAGAAGATTAACTCATCTAAAGATTTGAATTTCACCAAAAAGGTTAAAATCCATAGCTATTGCTCAGTACCTGATTTGGGTGTCCCAGTATCTTACCCTGACAGAGTTTCATACCCTACCTCCTCTATTCCTAGTGCCAAAGTAACATGATTACTACTATTCAAGTGTTTATGATAGGTCCATGTTCATGTAAGTGCTCCAGGCTCCTGTTACTCAGAGAATGGCTTATGGACCACCAGTAGCAGCCTCATGCAAGACCTTATAAGAAATAATAAATCTAAAGCCCCATTCCACACCTGCTGATTCAGAATTTGCATTTTAGCAAGATGCTATGTGATTTGTAAGCACATGAAAGTTTGAGAAGTGCTTGCATATCGATTTTGGAGACAGACTAGCTGTATGGCTAGGCAATAGAAATAAAGCTTGACACTTACTGAGGGCTTAATGGTGCCAGAACTGTGCCCAAGTCACACTTATAACACCTTTGAGCCCCTGTGTTTTTTTTTCCATAGAACAAAAAACAAACATAAAGGTATATAACTTGTGTGGCAAATAGCACCACCAAACTATTCCATCCAAAAACCAGGCATCACCCTTTATTCCTCCCCTGCCCCCGACCTTCATCCAATCATGACTGCCCTGCCTACAGACTCTTTGAATCCATCTAATTTTCTCCATCATACAGCTAACAACCTTGTCCAAGTCATCATTATTCTTGCCTGGGCCACCATCTACTTCTCTCCCTCTGTGTGGCTAGCAGCTTAATCTTCATCATCATTCCCCTTGCCTGGACCACTGCAGTAACCTGTTGACCAGTCTCCATGAACCATCCGTCTCAACTCAATCCATTCCTCACATAGCATTAAATATTAAAACATACATGAGTTAAAATCTTAAACACAAAATGTCACAGAAGCAACATAACATAAAAACCGATTTGTAGGATGTAATAATTTCCAAGTGTAAGCAAATTATCCTGGATGTAACTTTGGAAAGGCATATTTAATCAAGTTCTCATGGATTCTAGGAAAGGAGAGACCAAATTGGAAGAATCTGCACATGTGACTTCAGCCTCTCCAGGGAAGAGAGGCTCTGACCACTCTTGGATATACTTGGTCTCGGTCTCTCTCTCTCTCTCTCTCTCTCTCTCTCTCTCTCTCTCTCTCTCTCTCTCTCTCTCTCTCTCCCCCTCTCTCCCTCCCTCATTTTTAAGATCTACCATACTATTGAGTAGATGTGGATGCAGCAAGTTAGCCCTGAGACCAAGCAATCACCACTCTCACGCTGAATTTTTGCTATCTAGGCTGCATTTTGAGTATAATTTGGCTTCCCATGAAAACTCTCCTAAAGAAAAAAATGCACTAACAATCACCCTGTCTATCTCTCAGTCTTGCTACTTAGTATGTTAATAAATGTGTATGGTTTCATTCATCCGTCCTTCATGAGGTCATCCCCCCAACACTAGATAATTGAGTACACTGACAAAATCATATTCTTGACATCTGTATTAATTTGGCTGAATAGCAAACCATCACAAACATGCAGTGGTGTAAAGCCACACTATATATTGAGCTCATGATTCTGTGGGTCATCAGTTTAGGTTGAGCTAAACTGGCTGGTACTGCTAATTTGAGCCAGCCTGGCTGACCTCTGCTGAGGTCTCACATGGGCTCACACATGTAGCTGTAATTTACTGTTAAGCTGACTAGAGGCTAGCTGATTGTCAGTGGGGGTGTCTCAGCTCTCCTCCACATGGTATCTCATCCTCCAGCAGGCTAATCTGGGCCTGGTGGCAAGATTCCAAGGGCACCAAGGGGACAAGCCCCAGTGCATAAGCACTTTCAAATCTCTGCTTGTGTCGTGTATGCTATTGTCCCATTGGTCAAAGCAAGCCACAAGGCTAATCCTAGAGTCAATGTGGGCACTATTAAAGGAAATGAATACTGGAAGCCATGAACAAACTGAGCCATCCTTGCAATCAGTCTACCAAGTACCCAAAGCTGAGAGCCAGGGCATAGTGATAACACCAAGGAAACATCAGGAAACATCCTGAAAACCAAGTAGCTTCAGACATTCTTGAATTATTGTCAATATTCAATACACCCAACAATTGCAATATTCTACATCACTTTCTTAAAGCAAGGTGAATTCAAGCAAAACAGCTCTTAAGCCACAGGAAGCACCACCACCTCTGTCTGCCCTATATTTGGGTGTTGTTACTGTGGACATGAAGTGTTAATGGCATGGCCCACATTGATGCTTCATCATCAGGAATGGGAGCAGGCAATGGAGATCCAATTCTACCCCTTGGCATATAAGGAACCACAAGTTTCAGCACCCAGAGAAGATGTCAAATTTTTCTGGCCTTTCATGAAATTTGATTCATTGTGTTATGCTACTAGAGCAAAAAGACTAAAAAAAAAAAAACATGTATGTGTTTCCAAAATACAATTGGTGAGGAGAACTCTGCACTAGAAAAACTAAATTAAAAGCTGTCTAAAGCAGTTACATCTGAACACCATGGCAGATTTCAAAAAAAATGAATTCAATAAAAGCTAGGTTATCTTCTGGAACATTCCATGAGTATTGTGCGCAGGTGGGGGCACCCTGTGAAGTTTCTCCCCAGTGTCCTAAATAGAAGGTAGGACATGAATCCCCTTTGTTGGGCATCACCCAACAAACTATGTGGATTTTTTTACTAATGCATATCCAGCCATTAGCATGGGAAGAAGCAAGGATACTGGTGACTGATCTTTTCAACAGCTTTCTCTTTCCTTTGATCTTTCTCCCAGAACCTAAAGAACTTCCTGTCCCAGTGGAGAGGATGCATCTCTCCCCCATTTTCTCCTTCTTTGTGTATGATCTTTAATTCCTCCCATTTTTTCCTTGGCCATAAATCTTATGACTCACAAGAAGGTGGAAAGGGAAATAAATATATATTTTGAGTTATTGTTTTCAAAATGTTATCCCCATCTGTTTACAAAATCTTATTGCTTTAGCAGAAATGAAAACATTTTCCAGGCACAACATAAAAGAAGAATATATGATAGCAAGAATATCCCAAAACTTGATGCTAAGTTAAGCCAGGAAAGTATTTTTGTTTACAGCCTCAGTCATACATCTTCTCCTCTTCATTTCTATTCCTTTTCACTCCCTTCCTAGATATTAATGAATGCAAAAGCTGTATACTGGCAAGAAGATAGCTGGAAAGCTGGCTTTGAATCTCAGAGTCTCAATTTGGTAATCATATGATAAGGAACAAATTCGCTGCATTTCCCTAAGCCTCAGTTCCCCCTTCTATAGTATAGTATAGTATGGAGATTAAAAATGCTTTCCCTTGTGTCATTGTGATGAAAAATGGAATAAGAAAAGGTATATAAGCAGATGCGTAGTTCAGGACCTGTCCTATAGTAGATGCTTAGTAAATGGTATTATTACACCTCTGGTTGATGGATTTCTCTACTCAAACCATAACGTCTAACATCTCCATCCATCTCATCCCATGACACGCCGTTCTTGTCTGCAGATGTTATCAGTTTATGTCATCGACTTTACTCTTTTAACAGCTCAGCCTTTCTCTGCAAAGTCTTCCCAGCAGATCTGCACTCAAATTCTTCCCAGCACTTGAGCAGGTAGGAGGGATAGAGAGGAAATTTCTCACCACCTGCCTGCAATGTGGATGCCATTCTGTTTGTGTAATCTATTCCATGCCTCAGGTCCAAACAGCTTATGAAGCACTTTATAAACTTTACTGACTCCACAAAGCATGTGGCAAAGAGAAAATACTGGACTCACCACTGAGATGGCGCCCCTCCAGGGTACAGTGAAGAGGTTGCAAAACCAGGTATGGTAGCTCTTCCCAGCAATTAGGAAAGCAAGTGAGGAGAAATGCTCTAACTTAACCTCAGGGCACTAGGGAGCTGGAATCTTAGGAGGAAATGACCCTAGTTGGAAGTATAATAAGAAAAGAGAGATGCCTGGCTTTCATAACCACGAGTAGCTGAGAAATTAGTTTTGTGATGCACCTAGAGATTTAATTTGTTTTCTTGAAGCCAGCATAACACTTGGAAAAGAATAGATCAGGGTTTCTCACAGCATTGTTTGGGAGGGCTATAACAAATTCAGTTGGAGAATGTTTAAATATACAGTTTCCTGGGTTCTTCCCACCTTTCAGCCTTACCAGAGACTTGATCCTGCGAATCTGCATTTTAAGACTGCCTCAGGTGGTCATTACTACGTCCCAAAAGGTTTTGTCTTTGTTTTGTTTTCATCTCCTTATACCACTCTCAGGAAAGGGTGGGGGAGCAGCAGAGGAACCAGACAGACCCAGAGAACCCAAGAAGCAATACCAAGGCACTGAGTAAGGACAACAGAAATCAGGAAAATCTCTTCCCCCTCTCCCATCCCACCCTCAAGAGAAAGGGAACGTTAAAGAGTACAGCATTCTTCCCTCTCACAAATTAGGAGACTTTCATGGGCCCCCTCCACGGACATCTCTATTAGCCTCTTTTTATATTTGTATTTTCAAATTTCTTAATGTTTTTCAAGTCACAGAGTGCTTGAAACTGATGGAAACAATGAATCCTCTTCTCCCAAAAATGTGCATGAACACAATATTTAGCAGATAGCTTAACGTCTGGTGACTTAATGTATGGTCCCCACACCAGGAGCATCGGCCTCACCTGGGAGCTTGTTAGAAATGTAGGTGCTTTGTCCTCACTCCAGACTGACCAAAACAGGATCTGCATTTTAGCAAGATCACCAGGGGATCCATTTGCTCATTACATTTTGAGAGGGCTTGACTCAAGGTACAACTAAACCTGTGAGATTCAACCTAGGCCAGTGCACTGTTGAAAAGCTCCCACAGGTGATTCTAGTGCACAATCAGGATGGACAGCCGGAGCTTTAAACCAGTGGTTGTCAAAATTCAGCAAGCTGGAAAAAACACAGATTGCAGGGCCCCACCCCAAGAATAATTTAATATGGCTGGGTCAGGGCCTGAGATTCTGTGTTTCCAAGTTCCCAGGTAATGTTGCTGCAGCTGGTTGGGACTACACCATGAGAAGCACAATTCTAAGCTCATCGTCCATAGCCCAAAGTCAAACACAGTTTGAAGAAACAGAACGATTCTGGGGATAAGTAGAATTATCTTCCACAATGATTCTCATTCTCTCTGGGTTTCAGCTATGGCCACCAGCTCAGGCAGAGGGCAAAGTACCCTTGACTTGGAATTTGGCTGAACTAGAGTAACACTTATATTGCACAGTTAGGACTCCATATGGTACAATGGAAAACAGCTTCATCCCCTCCACACCCACACTGTTACTATCCAGAGAGCTGAGATTTTTCTAGCAGGTTGAAAAAATCCAGTCCAGGGCCAGTGATTTTCTTTATTACTCTTAGATATTTTTAAAAAGCATCTTCTGGCCACTTTAGTCCCCCAAACAGTATAAGTTCAATAACTAGTACTTATAGTCTAGCTTAATAATTGAAACCCCTCACGTCACTTACAGCATTGCATTTCTAATTCTAGAAATTAGGAACTACTTTCTAATTTCTTTCCCTTCCCTCAGCTCCCAACTTTCCTATAGAGAAGGAGCTCAGTTGGCTCCTCTCAATGCCCCTACCTGTCCCCCAACCTGCCTTTTCCTCTTCTTTCTCCAGCCACCCACTGAAGGCTGCCTCTGGCTCCTCCAGGTTTGAAGGAGTATGGGTAAAGATGAGGGACAGGAAAGGTCTCAACCCATACTATCACCATCAGGCATTAAAGGGCTCTGTGCTTTAGAAGACAAAATTCCAGGAAGTACCACTGAGGTGGAATACAAAATAAATACCTGCCCCCACCTCTGGGAGTTGAGAGCCTGTACTTTCCTGATATCGACTGTGTCCTCTCCCGCTGACCTCTTGAGAAACTTCCTCAGCTCCTCCTCAAAAGCATCTTACTGGTGGGGCTCCCTCTACCCGGGAAGCTCCCCTCTTGGCCATTCCTTACGGGAAATGCCAGCCCAGTTCTCCACTTGGATACCAAGAATGTCATGCATTCTTATCACATCATATAGAATGGCCCACTGTTCCCACAGATGGCATAGCTCCCACCTCCCCCATAAGCAGCTCAAGCCACTTATTTTTAATCCTCTCAGCATGAGTCAAACACCTATTACTTTGTACCCTCATATTTCAGAGCATTTTATTATTGCCCTCACCCCACCCCCAGTGTGGCTGCCTGTAGTGGAGTATGAGGTATGGTTGGCTTCTCTCTTTTCTCTGTCAGTTCTCTATGCACCTCACCAACTGTGGACTTTGATCACCCAAGGATTGGAGAATGGAGAAGCAAGAGCAGGAAAGAAGAGAGGTAAGAGATGGGGAAAAAACTTTTTCTTTCATGGGGTTCTTTGAGGGAGTCCTTGAAAATTCCCTCATAAGGAATCTGTATTTCATTGCTCCTGACCTGGGTAATATATGTCTTCTGGTTGATGGCTTACAGTGCTGAACCCCAGCCCCTGTGCTTCCAAAAGTCCACGTTTGGGCAGAGCTTTTAAAGGCAGCTCCAGGCTGACAAAGATCTGGTTCCCAAGAAACACTTAATTTTCTCCCCTTTGGTAGAGATACAATTTGCTCAAATGGATCCCTGTTCCTCTGCTGCCAAGGGCCATCTTATGGGTCAAGCTGTGTCCCTCAAAAAGATATGTTGAAGTCCTAACCCCCAGTACTTCAGACCATGACCTTATTTGAAAATAGAGTCATTACAGATGTAATTAGTTAAGATGAGGTCATACTGGAGTGGGAGGAGGGATTAATTCACTATGATTGGTGTTCTTATAAGACAATATGAGGCAAGAGACAAACAGGGAGAAGACAGAGGCAGAGTTTGGAATGTTGCTGCTACAAGCCAAGGAATACCTGGGGCCACCAGAAGCTGGAAAAGGTAAGGATGGAGTCTTCCCTAGAATCTTCAGATGGAAGATGGCCCTGCTGACAACTTGATTTCTGACTTCTAGCTTCCAGGACTGTAAAAGAATAAATGTCTATTGTTTTAAGCCACCCTGTTTGTGGCACTTGTTACAGCAGCCCTAGGATACTCCTACAGGCTACTTCAGTTATCCCCTTGACTATATTCTTTCTTTCATCATAGGTCTGGCTTCATTCTCTACATGGTCTGATTCCAGAGGACAGGAGGAACACTCTAAGAGGTGCCCATGATGCCCCATCGCTGACTGAGGTGAGGGTGAAGCGTCTGCCTTCCCCTTCACCATATGATAAAGAGGAAATGTCACACAACTGCAGAGTCCAAATAACTTCCCTGCCCCACAACCACTTCTCAAGCATTAATCCTCTTATATATTTGAGTTGATGTTGAACAAAGAGTCCAAAACTCTATGTGTGTTGGTGGGGGATGTGCATGCTAATCTGCACCCCATGTTGAAACATTAGAATGTGAGTGTACTTGATGCTTTTTATTTTTTGTTACCAGCCTTTGAGACATAAGCTAAAACTAAAACAGATAGAATCCCATTTTAAACTCCTGATACATTGGAGGGCAAACACCTTGGTTTTCAGTTACCTTGGAAACTACTTTCTAATTTCTAGTCATGAGAAACTTAAGTGAAACTATGATCTGCAGCTAAGGTCCTCTCGTTAATTGCCTAAGTCAAAGAAAATGAAATGGTATTCTGAAAACACCAAAATTCATGCTCCCATGAGTTCCCATAAAAATCACTACATCCGCATGTTCTGCACATATATCCCAGAACTTAAAGTAATCACTACATCCACTGAATTCATAACCATGTACTATTTATGAAGTGAAGTCTTTAAGTCCAAAGGATAAAGAAAAAATATATATTTTTAATAAGAACCATCTATGACAAACCTACAACCAACATCATACTGAACAGGCAAAAGCTGGAAGCATTCCTGTTGAGAATAGGAACAAGACAAGGATGTCCACTCTCACCACTCCTATTCAACATAGTACTAGAAGTCCTAGCCAGAGCAATCAGGCAATAGACAGAAATAAAAGGCACCCAAATAGGAAAATAAGAAGTTAAATTATCTCTTTTCACTGACGATATTATTCTATACCTAGAAAACCCTAGAGACTCTGCCAAAAGGCTCCTAGACCTGAGAAATGACTTCAGTAAAGTTTCGGGATACAAGATCAATATATAAAAATCAGTAGCAGCTCTATACACCAATAACATTCAAGCTGAGAGCCAAATCAAGAATGCAATCCCATTTATAACAGCCACACAAAAAAATACCTAGGAATACATCTAACCAACGAAGTAAACCATCTTTACAAGGGAAAATACAAAACACTGCTAAAAGAAATCATAGATGACACAAATGTAAAAATATTCTATGCTCATGGATTGGAAGAATCAATATCATTTAAATGACCCAAAGCAATCTACAGATTCAATGCTATTCATATTAAACTACCAATGTCATTTTTCACAGTATTAGAAAAAACTATTCTAAAATTCATATGGAACCAAAAAGAACCCAAATAGCCAAAGTAATTGTATGCAAAAAGAACAAAGCCCGAGACATCACTGTACCTGAGTTCAAATTATACAAGGCTATAATAACCAAAACAGCATGGTATTGGTACAAAAACAGACACACAAAACAATGGAACAGAACAGAGAACCTGGAAATAAAGACTCACACCTACTAGTATCTGATCTTTGGCAAAGCCAACAAAAATAAACAATAGGGAAAGGACTTCCTGTCCAATAAATGATGCTGTGATAACTGACTAGCCATATGCAGAACAATGAAACTGGACTCTTTCTCTACACCATACACAAAAATCAACCCAAGATGGATTAAAAACTTAAACGTAAGACCTCAAACTAAAAATCCTAGAAGAAAACCCAGGAAATACCCTTCTCAACATTGGCCTTAGCAAAAAATTTATGGCTAAGCCCTCAAAAACAATTCCAACAAAAAAAAAATTGACAAGTGGAACCAAATTAAACTAAAGAGCTTCTGCACAGCAAAAGAAATTATCAACAGAGTAGACAGACAACCTACAGAATGAGAGAAAATTTTCTCAAACTATACATCTGACAAAGGTCTAATATCTAGAATCTATAAGGAATGTAAACAAATCAAGCAAACAAACAAATAGCCCCCATTAAAAAGTGGACAACAGACATGAACAGACAGTTCTCAAAAGAAGACATACAACAAACATGAAAAAATGCAAGTCAAAACCACAATGAGATACCATTTCACACCAGTCGGAATGGCTACTAAAAAGACAAAAAATAACAGATGTTCACAGGGCTATAGAGAAAAGGGAATGCTTATACACTGTTGGTGGGAATGTAAATTAGTTCAGCCACTGTGGGAAGCAGTTTGGAGATTTCTCAAAGGACTAAAAATAGAACTACCATTTGACCCAACAATCCCATTACTGGGTACATACCTAAAGGAAAGTAAATCATTTTACCAAAAAGACATATGCACCCATATGTTTATAGCAGCATTATTCACAAAAGCAAAGACATAGAGTCAACCTAGGTGCTCATCAACAGTGGATTGGATAAAGAAAATGTGGTACATATACACCATGGAATACTACATAGGCATTAAAAAAAAAAACAAAATTGTGTCCTGTCCAGCAACATGGATGCAGCTGCAGGTCATTATCCTAAACAAATTAAGGCAGAAATGAGAAATCAAATATTGCATGCTCTCACTTATAAGTGGGAGATAAACATTGGGTACACATGGCCATAAATATATAACAATGGACACTGGGGACTACAGGAAGCGGAGGTAGGGATGGGGGCAAGGGTTGAAAAACCACCT
Organism: Homo sapiens; assembly: GCF_000001405.40. Classification (NCBI taxonomy): domain Eukaryota; kingdom Metazoa; phylum Chordata; class Mammalia; order Primates; family Hominidae; genus Homo; species Homo sapiens. Next base: position 14,128,032 of record NC_000023.11, on the reverse strand, counting down.
ACTGAGTGCTATACTAACTACCTCGGGGATGGGTTCAATCGTGCCCCAAACCCCAGCATCACACAATACCCCCATGTAACAAATCTGCACACTTACCCTATGAATCTAAAATAAAAGTTCAAAAAAGGCCAGTGCGGTGGCTCACGCCTGTAATCTCAGCACTTTGGGAGGCCAAGGCGGGCAGATTACGAGGTCAGGAGATCGAGACCATCCTGGCTAACACAGTGAAACCCATCTCTACTAAAAAAACAAAAAATTAACCAGGCGTGGTGGCATGCGCCTGTATTCCCAGCTACTCGGGAGACTGAGGCAGGAGAATCACTTCAACCCAGGAGGCAGAAGTTGCAGTGAGCCGAGATCACACCACCACACTCCAGCCTGGGCAACAGAGTGAGACTCTGTCTCAAAAAAAAAGAAAAGAAAAAAAAAAGAAAAAGTTTGTTTTGTAAAATGTGCACAAGTAGTTTCTAGTTTTTGTATAGGTTGTGTTCCAAGAGTTTATTTGTAAGGTTTTTGAAATTTAGAACACATTTTCTAACAAAATAATGCCCATAAAAGTGATTAATTTTTTCAGATTAACCCCCTAAACTTAGTGCAGTTTGATTTTGTTTGCTTTGGTGCAAGAAATATATCTTGAGCCACAACTTTGTACCAGGCACCAAACTAAGCATTAGATTGTAGCAATGGCTGCTGATGTCCCATCCCATGTAAACTTGGCCCACCTCTGAGTTCTCTACAGCCACTTCCCACGTGAGGCACTTAAATCCTCCAATTCTCTCCCCTGGGACATTTTGCAGTATCTGGAGACATTTTGGGCTGTCACAACCGGTGGTGAAGGGGTTACTACGGGCATCTAGTGAGGAGATGCTACAGATGCTACTCAGCTTCCTACAATGTAAAGGACAGCCCCCTACAACAGAGAATCATACAGCCCCAAATATCACTAGAGTCAAAGTTGAGGTATTCACAGGCACACAACTTGGTGATATGCCCTCTTTCTTCTGTCTGACTCCAGCCACGCCCTTGCTCCACTCCACTTCCAGCATCTTTAGGATCATGGAATCTTAGTCTTGAGACTTAGTTTGATTCCCCCAGAAGAAGATTTCAAAATGACGTTTGAGTGTTAGTTATCTGGGAGGTGGAGGAAACAACAGGAGCATGGAAACATGAGATGAGTCAGGGAGCAGGAGAAAGCTAATAAAGGATGAAGAGTCAGCTGCCAACGTAGAGCCAGAAGCCAGGGTAGGACATGCCTCAGACTTATCCCACCTTGGGACAAGAGAATATTTATCCACGAAACCACAGCAATCAGGAGTTGAGGGCTGCTGTGGGGGTTGTTGATTCCCTGGCACCTTCTGTCTTCCACATGAGTGGTAAAGTAGGATGGGAGCACAGAGAGCCATCAAGCAACAAAATGCAAATGCTAAGAGTTGGAAATTGGGCCCATGTGCCCTGAAGAGATAAGAGTGATGGGTTAAGGGCAGGGCAGCAACAGCATTTGCAACATAGCTTTGTCTCCATGGCTTTCCTCATGAGCATGGGCTCTGGAGCCTGAATGCTTGGGTGAAAATTCTGAATGCATCGTTGCTTGCTCTGTGACCTTGAACAAGTTACCATTCTAACTTCAGTTTCTTCCACTGTAGAAGAGAGATGACAGTGGTGCTAACCTCATAGGGCTGCTGTGAGGATTAAACAAGAAAATACAAGTGAATCACACAAAGTGCCTTGCTCAGACAGCCTTAGCTATTATGGTGATAGGTCATAATAATAGCTAACTACGGTGGAAATTTACTTTGTGTCAGGCACTCTTTTAAGTATGTGGCATGCACTAACTCATTTCATCTTTCCAATGACTGAGATAGAAACCATCATTATCCCTGTTTTGCAGGTAAATACAAGGCACTAAGAGGTCAGTCAGGTAAAGTTGTGTTGACTGAGATAAGATCTGAAGGTTGAGAGCCATTCATTATATAAAGGAGAAAAGGACATTCCAGAAGTTGGAAGTATGCTGTGTTCACGTATGCTAAATCAGAGTCCTCTTTAAAGTCTTTCCCTCTTCATGTGGTGACAAAGTCAGACACTGTGAAATACGACCAAATATTTCCTGATGATCCAAGTGCCAGGTACAATCATTCACTTGAGTTGCACAGTGACATTTTCCCCAAGCCCTGTGCTCTCCAAAGCAATCGGTGGGTGGCAGCTCATTCCTAAGGAACGTGGTCTTTTTTCACCATAGCCTGCAATTACAATGAAACCTGACCTTTGCAGTTTCATTTTCAGGCTTTTGAAATGAAGATGTCAGGATTCAAAATTGGGCAACGTTGTCAGTAGGGAGACGCCTGGAAGCAGAAGAATATTTATGGTAATAAAAAACTTGAGCTCTCAAAGGACCAGCTAAATTACAGTTGGCACAAGGCATATTAGAGCTTGTCCAGATTTACTGTCAGCCCTCTGAATTCATGGCCTTAAAAGGCAATAAATTGTTGGAGGAATACACTGCTTAAGCAGATCAGAGGTAAAAATGAATATGGAGAGCTTATAAAATGAAAATTATTGAATTCCAAATTTTTCTCCTAAATGTTGTCAAAATGTAAGATTCCCTGGCATGAACCAAGGTGTTATTTAAAAGCTGAAATGTCCGTTGCCATTTTAGTACTTAATCTAATTCTCCCCTACACAGACACTTTATCCCCATATAGGTGGAAGGAGATGGGTCTCCAGCTGTTTGAGGAAGAAAAAAGATTGAGCAGGAGCCAGCAAATGAGTTAAGATCAGTTTTCTCATTTCTCCTATTCTACTTTTGCCCTTCAGTGCTATAAAATTGTGAATACTAAATCTAAAAATTGAGAAATATTTTTAAAAGGAAGGCTCAACATAAATATCCTGTTAGACATTATGATATTAAGCATAGATTTTATTCCCTCATGACACACCCGTCTGCAATATAAATATCCTTAATTTGCAAGTAAATGTAACACATTTATCAAGTGAGAGAATACTGTCTCAGCCTTATATGCAGTACAATAAGGAGATGATAATTAAACATCTATTTACACCACCCTTAATAAGCAAAAGGTTTCTCCTAAGAAAGAAGCTAAGAAGAAAAAAGGTGAACATAAAAGAATGCAGAACAAAGTATAATCAATGGTGAAAATCCGTATCTTAACCCTGCTTAATAGGATGAGAGCCTTGTGCTGCCTCAGCTCCATATATCCTCCTATGAAGTATAAACAATCAGCCAACCTGTCTTCGCTCTTTCTCTTTCTAAATATACACCATCCGAGTTCTCTAGCAACGGTGCAAGCAAAGACAAAAAACACAAGATAAATAAGAATCATGAACAGCCTTAAAGCATATTTCACCTAGAATAACCATGCCCAAGGAGTCAAAAGTGATGAAATTCAGTCCAGTTGGAGGAATGTAACGATAAAAGCCCTTTTTTTCCTCATAGCAACTCTTGGGAAATGAGATTTCACATCCTCCCATTACAACTCAATCCAATTTCTAACAAGCAGGACCATGAAAGAAGGTCTTCCTTATGTCTAAATTAAATCCTTAATCTTGCACTTTAAGCCACATTTCCCTTTGATTGTCTTTACTAGAAACAGAGAAACTTTCATTTACCTAATGTCTATTCTCTTACTTTCTTTTATCTTCTCTGAACCACTTAAGTTCACTGTTATTCTTATTCTCCTACAATCTAGGCATTTTCTGGGCTGCGTGTGAACTCTCCAAATCCTAAAATTTCATCAGTTTTGGAGTTCAGAATTATACAGGTTATTTAAGAGAGATATTAACCAAGATTCTATGTAAGTTCTTTTTATTTCAAATTTATTATAGACACAAATACATTCATTTTGTCAAAAAATCAAACAGTATAGAAGCATATAGTTTAAAAAATAAAAGTCCCATTTCATCTCAAACTACTTCCCTTCCTGGAAGTAACTACATTTAAAAATTTGATATGTATCTTCTTGGAATGTTGTCTTTCTATGTGCAGACTTGTGTATGTATATAAACATATATGTGTTGAATTTTATATAAATTATTTTACACTTTTTATATCATTTATCTGTATATTTCTTGGCAATTTTATTATATTGGTACATAAGATGTACATGTTTGATGCTAAAATTCATACAACTTCATAGGTTAGGAATTGTGTTCAGCTTCTGGGAACAGAGGCTAGAAATAACAATAGCTTTTAAAAAAACTAAAATATCATTTCTCTACCATGGCAAAAACTGGCTTGTTGTTTTCAAACCATCTTCCTTTTCCTCCTGGGCACACAGTTAAACTACCCTTCCCAGAGATAGTGGGAGGGTGAGGGGAGAGGTGGGGATGGTTAATGGTACAAAAAAGATAGAATGAATAAGACCTAGTATTTGATAGCACAACAGAGTAACTATAGTCAATAATAATTTAATTCTACATTGTAAAATAACTTAATGTAATTGGATTGTTTGTAACACAAAGGATAGATGCTTGAGGGGATGGATACTCCATTTGCCATGATGTGATTATTATGTATTACATGCCGTATCAAAACATCTCATGTATTCCATAAATATATATACCTGTGTACCCACAAAAATTAAAATAAACTACCCTTCCCAGACTTCTTTACAGCTGGACACATCATGTGACCAAGGTTCGCCAATGAGCTATGAGTGAAAATGATGTGTGCTGTCTTCCGGACTGGGAGATAAAATCCTCCCAGAGGGATACTCCACTTTCATCTGAATGGAGTGGACTCTAAGACTCAGAGGATAATGGAGTCTTAAAATAGAAAATCAGACGCCTGTGTTGCCACTTTCAAAGAATCTGTCAGCAGAGTCATTCAACCCAAACACCTAATTTGGACATTTGCATGAGTGAAAATAAACTTCCATTGGGTTAAACCACTCAAATAGGGTTGTTGTAGCAGTTAGCCTACCTTGAATAAGATATACACGCACTAAAGAAAACCTAAGTTGAGCAGTCCAGGACTGGTGTGATGGCTCAGCAGAGTCATGAGAATTCTGCACTTTTATCATTCTGCTTCACCATCCTTAACAAGTATGGCAGAGCTTAGCACCGTCTGTTCTGCTTAGTCTCTGGACCTTGTGGGGGCCTCCAGGCTATTATCCTTTCCACGATTACAACATGTCTGAAACCTATTTATTATTATGTAACCTGTGAACAGTATATCAAGATGATATTCATAGCATAGAAAGAAAATGTAGGTGAGTCACATATAATCTCAAAAAACTGTTTAGAGTCTTAGAGTGACATCATTGGAGAGTATAAGAGACTTGGCAAAAATTTTTTGCTAACAATCCAAGCTTATCTCTCATGAGAAACTGAGGAGACTTGAGAAGGCATGTCACAAACATCACCTAATTTTATAACATTTGGTGACAATATATCTTATATACTTAGTACAGTAAAACTTCAATTCCTATAAAATTTATGTCAATACACTCTTTCACCAAGCTACCAAACCTACCCTTGATGAAAGTGCTTTAGCTCAGGCTTCTTCTATAAAGATTGTCTCATGGTCTTAGATGGCAGCTAGAGCTCCAGCTATTAGATCTAAATTCCAGGAAACTGAAGGAGGTTAGGAGGGAGATAATCTCAAAAGACAGTATTGAGTGTCTTACTGAAATACTTGCAAATATTACGTTCCAGATAGCTCTCAAAGTCACGGTGACACACATATAAACCTGAGCTCTTCCCAAGTGAGTAAAAGGGAGGAAAGTTACATACAGTGAATGCAGAGAGGACTCGACTTCCTCGGTATTCTTAGACTCTTTAAAACTAAACATGAAAAATTTCAGAAAATCTACAGAAGAAAGAAATTTCAAGGTATACTGATCACATCTGTGCAGAAGAAAACTCCCAACAGCTTTAAGGCACACTAGGAGAGAAGTCCTTGCCCAGAACACTTACATTCTTTTATTTTTAATAGCACACCTTCATCTTCAATATATCCAGGAAACAATGTTGGCCTGCCCACCAGTGGGTGCCCTCATGCTGCCAAGATGTTTCATTGGTCACACTACCTAAATATTTGTATCTTTTAAATCCAAGTGTTTTGCTGAGCTCTGAGGACAAGCCCAAACCTCCTCCATGGGTATACTTGCATTGTTGTCAAAGAAAACAAGTTTTGAATTAAGAAACTGCTCACTTTGTCATGGTCATTTGTCTTACTGTACATTTACTTAATGATATGAAAACATGTAAAAATCCATTCCTAAAATCTCAGCAGGGAAGAATTTCTTTCTTTTCTGAGGCTATGTGAAGGATAAATATGTCACCTATTTATTCTAGTTAGACTCATGCATAAAATAAATCCTCAATTATCATTCATCAAACTTTGTATCATCTGTGTCTTCTCAACTTGAAGAATACCTCATTCATATAACTAAAAGTTCTAGCCATAAATCCTCATCCCTGAAACCCTTGCTTAAATTCAAATCTTGTCTCTATCATTTAATAACGGTAGACTTTGACAAGTCCCTTCACCTTTAAAAACATCAAATGGTGTAAAAAAAAAACCTCCATCTGTAAAACAGGCATAATAATTATTATCAACATCATGGAGTTGTTGTTGCAAGAACTGTGAATGGTCTGACATTTGATCCTACTTTCAAGTTAAACGGCTAACTTGCCACTGTTTCATAGAGGCAGACAGAAGACATGTGACTCCTGAATCACGTGAAGACTTCATTACTCAAGATACAGAATATAGCATGAGCTTCATTTTCGCATGAAACTTGTCCCGTTAATTCCTCAGGGTGCAATGCAGAAGTGGGTCAAAGTAGATGTTACCTGTACAGTGAGTTTTTGCCACAGATGAGGAACTCCAAATTGAGAAAACCACAATTCTTTAAAGGTCCTGCAAGTAAATCTGTCCAACATTTTTTCGAAATGGAAACATTCTCTTTATTATCCTGGCCAGCAAACAAATATACCCTCTTCTTCAGAAGGAACTACTATATCTATCTTTTAAAGCTATAAGCTATTTTCGACAGAAATCTTCTTGGAAAGATAGTCTGAAACAAAGAAAGCCAGTGCCTCTGCCTGTAAGACATGCAGAAATGCAAAAGAACTGTGGAGAATTGTCTCCCAACAGTTGTGAAGATTAGACAATGTGGAGCAGTGTGATGTTTTCTATTAAGTGTCAACTTGATTGGATTGAAGGATGCAAAGTATTGTTTCTGGGTGTATCTAAGTGTTTCTGGGTGTTGCCAGAGAGATTAACATTTGTGTCAGTGGACTGGGAAAGGAAGACCCACTCTCAGGAAGCCCCACCCACAATGTGGGTGGACACCATCCAACTGGCTGCCAACATGGCTAGAAAAAGTCAGAAGAAGGTGGAAGAAGCTGACTTGGTGAGTCTTCTGGCCTTCATCTTTGTCCCATGCTGGATGCTTCCCTCCCTCAAACATCACTGGACTTACACCAGTGATTTGCCAGGGGCTCTCGGGCCTTCAGCCACAGACTGAAAGCTGCACTGTCAGCTTCCCTACTTTTAAGATTTTGGGACTTGGACTGATCCACTACGGCTTCCGTGCTCCTCAACTTGCAGACAGCCTACCATGGTACTTCACCTTGTGATTATGTAAGCCAACTCCCCTTAATAAACTCCCTTTCATATATACATCTATCCTATTAGTTCTGTCCCTCTAGAAAACCCTAATACAACCAGGTAAAGCATTTAGCACAGTTTCTGATGCACAGTAAGCACTAAATAAATGTTAGCCATTATTATTATCCCAGGCATACAAATTATTTCAATGTCTTGAGGTTCCTATTTGTAGTACATTGTCAAGGAATCTTCCAGGGTCCAGAAACTCTTGTACTGCTGAAGATTCTCCCTTAATCTTTTCTGCAGTCACTGCTGATGTCATCAGGAACATCCAAGAAGCTCCAGAACAATTCACCTGTCTACCTCTTCATACTCTAGGAGCCCCTCTTTTGCCATTTCTTTTCAGAAAGCTGCTGGTGAAACACAAGGGAATTGTGGTCCATGCATTTCAAGGGTTTCCTGTGCCCTGCCTTAAGCCATGCCCTACTTGAGGTTGGCCTTCAGTATTATGGCTATCCCAGCCCCTGCTGAATAGTCTTGATTCCTAGCTCCTCACCAAGGGCATAAACTCAGCCCTCTATGAAGATGTTAGCTTTCTACTCATATTTCGTTGTGGCAGAGATTGGCAAGGTGTTCACCAAACCCATCCCCTCTTCTTCTTGGACACAGAGCTAGACGACATTTCCCTGCTTTCTCTTGCAGTCAGGTGTGGCCAAATGCTCTAGTTCTGGTCCATAGATTGTGTCGAATGGAGGTGTACCACTTTTAGCCCTGGCCCATAGAAATATCCTACAGGAATCCTCCACACTCTTTCTCTTTTTTCCTTCACGTTCCAGCTGGATGCAGAGGATATGGCAGAGGACTCTGAGACCCTAGGGAACAGTGGAGCCACTAAAAGGTAGAAGCTCGGTTCCCTCATTTATTGAGTGCATTCCCATCAACATTTTATTATGTTAAGCCACTAAGATTTGGGGGGTTATTTAATGTAACATTTAATGTAACAGCTACACTGCCCAGAGTATTATATGTGCCTTACCCTGAGCTTATGGCCCTATGTACCCCAGCTAGGTCCCAGGTGATTAGGCTACCAAGAAACTCTTAGTAGAGAAAGACAGCTCACACCCCAAAGAAATCTATTATTTCCTAGCATGGAGCGGGGAGGGGGCGTGTTCATAGAGAATTCTCTGAGTTCTATTCCACAATCCAAATATGATGCAGCAGAGTATCCTTCTGGCTGTTGCTTCCAATATCTGACCACTTTCTTCCCACCAGGGCCCTGAATCTACATTCTCTGGGACCCCAAAGTCTTGAACAACATCTTACCATTTGAAATAAATGAAATAAATGTTCCCACTCCCTTACAGCATCAGACCACACTCCCCTTTGTCATTAAACCTACTCCTGGAATATCCAATTTAGGAAAAAGGGGCTGCTCTGGGCATGATCTTCATTGGGCTTTCAATATCAAACCCTTCTACTCAGCAAACTTTCCCTTCCTATAGGGCGCCCTACAATCTAATTCATAATTTAGCTATTTCCATATGTAGGATAAGTCCTGGTTTCCATCGAAAAATGTGATACAACCACCATTGTTACTCACTCCCTATCTCTCCTTCCCCCGGGCTTACATTTCCTGTGTCCTTTTCTGAGTGAATATGGCCTCCACCTGAGGATATCCATCAGCTTTCTAAAAAACATGGACAGATTTTTCATGCCTAGATAAGTAAAAAGTTGTGAGTTAAGAGTGAGAGGAACAATTAAGACATTTCGGGAGGGAAATAGGAAATAACAGATGAGAATGCCTTTTTTAAAAGAGAGACAGAATAGATGTTTATATACATGCAAAACAAAGACCTGAAAAAAACTCTCTCAGGACCAGATAGCTTGCCTAAATCATACACCAAATCATATCCTATGGCTTAAGATGAATCACTATTCTTATTACATGTTATACCCCACCAACAGGTATAAAGTTTTGTGAGAGGGCTAAAGTGTGACTCAATAACAAACACCTGGATTAGTGGTTTTGGCAGTAGATGAAGGTAGTAGGATCACATTCTGGCTCTGCCATTTTTTCACTGGGTGATTTTGGACTAATTAGCTACTCCAACCCTCACTTTTACACCTTAAAATGAAGATAAAAATACTACTTATCTCATTGGTTAAATGAAATAATGCCTATAAAGTGCTTGGAACAGTGATATGCACAGTTAGTCCTTATTAAATAAATGAGCTATTTGTGGTCGAGACGTTTACTGCCCTCTGAATATCCATGTGTTCTCTGATTTTTCTTAGTCCTTTAAAGTTGGAGAGACTATGTACCTATTTCTGTCCAACGGACCATAAGCATGTAATGTATGTCACTTCTGAGCCAAAGCATTTGAGAACGAATGTGTGACCTTTTGGTTCTCTTTGTCTCTGGAGAATTGATCATAGAGGCGACAAGACAAGCTGGCAGTGGCACAGGATCGAAACAGTCTTGGTTACTTGGTCTCCACATGGAGGATGGCTGCCTTGAGAAGTCACCAGTTCTTATCAGACTTTCTGTGAATGGGAAACATGCCTTTGTTGGGTTAAGTCGCTGAGACTTCAGGATTCATTTGTTACTGCAGCATGACGTAGCTTACCCTAAATAATACTGTTATAATACAGTCATATCTTAGGCACAATTAAACAAATTCAATTATATGAATTTGGCCAAAAAAAAATGAGAAAGAAGGAAATAGCATTTTGCCCCCTTTTCACTCAGTAAGTGCATGTCCAGGTGTGAGTATGAGATAAGAGAGATCAATGTATGGCTGCATCCTCATTTGGCCCTTATTTTTACTGCTTCTTATAGTGTAAGCATCTCACTGGCTAAATATAAACCTAGTTTTTAAAGATACATATTTTTATATACAATACAGCCCCTAAACAGACAATTCTTTTATCCCATGTTCAACGGAAAAGCAAAAATTAGAATTCAGGTTCAGGGCTGAAGAGAAATATGGCTATGCTGTGCTTAGTAAGAGAAAGGAAACCTCCCCTAGTGTGGCACTTTTCCTAAGTGATTTTCAAGGAGAATTTTTACCAGTCTTCCTAGCTAACTTTAGACCCAAACCTCAGTGTGAGATATAACTGCACTTCATTCATGTAAGCATTAAATTATAATGATGAAATTAGATACTTATATAGAATTACTGGAATTGAGTAGACACTCGATAAATGTTAACTTCTAAACTTTGCCACTATATTTAATGAATGACATATTTCAGAGACCCCAAATCAGTGGATGCCCTTCTGATTGGGGCTACCAAATCCAAGGTGGGATGGAAGAAAAAGGTTTATGTCATTCCTCGGCATCAGTACCCACCCCCCCCCACACCCCCACACCCCACCCCCGGCAAAACCGCCTCGCTTTGTGCTAATGTACAAGAAGCGACTTCCAGCCTTTTTGCCTAATGGCCAAGAGTTAGTGAGAATATCTTCAATCTCTCCCTCTCCCCAAAGACTACTTCTAACAAAAGGCATGAAAACCCCAATTAAAGTCTAGGACATTCATAGAGTGATATTTTTCTTAATCAATAGGGTATTATGTTATCCCAAAGGCCAGAATCCAGTCAAGTACTTTCTGTCTTTGTCCTTTATGAGCTCAGATGGCATTTCAGAAAAGAGATCTCCATCTTTATATCTCTCACCCATGGGATGGGCCCTCCTAGACAGGACTTCTCTGCGAAGAAGCAACCCTCCATTCCTTCCTTCTCAACCAGCCACTCTGTGAATGGGGCAGGCCTGCATGCTCTGAAGTAGTCTGGGTTCGTGGACATAAAGACTGCCCTGTAGACCCTACCCTTTCAATAGGGAAATACAAGGGCCTGGGTTCAAGATGGAAGCATGAGGCTCCACATTGGGCTTCTAATATGTATTCTCCATTCCAGAGAACTCCACATTGTACATTAACAGAATTTTGTCCTGCCATGAGTAATGATGACACAATTTGCCTTGTGGTACTTTGCTTGTGTTCTCCATCACCCAGAAACTTGCAAAGAAGAGTGACTGCAAACCTCACCTCAATCTCTGGCATCAAGAAAGGCACACCTAGTCTTGGGACATAACCTGTTACACGTTTCCCTTATAAACTGCCCTAGCTCTCTTTCTTATCCTTTGCAGAATTACAGAGCTATGATTAAAGATTCATCTGCAAATAAGTTATGACAGCTACATGTAGTCAAACTCAGTCTCTTTCCTAAAAATTGTTATGGGAAAGGGAGACTCATATGTGGTTACACAGTGAAGTCTGTAACTTACAAATAAAATTATATTGCCGTGTTATGATGCATTTCTTTATTGCACAATAGAATAAAATATGTAAAATCTGATATATTTGATATGCACAAACCAAAACTGTTTCTGCTTGGTCTTATTATGAAGATAAATGCCACAGAAATGGGTGTTTATATATTTCTATTATATACAATAAAATGTATAAGTATACTTATACAGAATATGTAAAAAGTATTTTGGTGAGTCATAGCCTAAAATACCTAATATAGCAAAATGAGCCAAAACTTTTATGTTTTTATGAATTACATGGAGCTCATCCTCAGATTAAATAATGATATAGCCATGAGGGTCATGGAGGCAACCAGTATATTTCAAATGAGTTCATTTTAAATCACCACTACATGCAAAAATCCTGAACTATGAATCTGTAAAGTGTTCATTCCAAGGGTAATGTTGCATGTGTATTTTTAGTCTCATGTGGTAAAGGAAAAATAAAACATACAAATGCATATTTTATGAAAGCTACTCCATTCACCTTATTAAGAAATTACAGGCTCTGTAGTACACGCTCCAAACCTGTGGGATTTGCTTTATTATGAGGTAAATTGCTATCTTATACAAGTTTCTAATAAGATTATATATGCCAGCTGATTCCTGGCCCTCCCCAAACGCACCAGTGATTGCAACAGTCCACATACATCTGCTGATTTATTTTGGGAGAAAGGTCAGTTTCCATTTGTGATAAACTACCTCATGTTAGTTAATATTATGCCATATCCAGTCAAATTTCTAAAAATACACCGGTGACTATTGATTGTATTTATCACATTATGTTGTGACTAAAGTCCACTCAATTTCTTTTTTCTTGAAAGGAAATTTTCTTTCTTGTGAGCTCAGAGGAAATTTTCAGAGGAAAGCTAGTAAGAAGCAGTATGTATGAAACAGGAGGTCTGCAGCCCCACCCTCTGGAATCTCTACCTGAAGCATAAATAATACCCATGTACCCATCAACACACCTGAAGTCCCCAGTGCGCCCTTCTCCAATTTCATTTGTCTCTCTCCTCTGCCCCCATAGAGTCACCACTCTACTGAAATTGGTAGTCAGCATTCCCATGCATTTCTTTATGTCTTTACCATATATGTATCTATAAGCAAAATGTTATTGCTTTGCATGTCTCTAAATGCTACATAAATAGTATCATAGTTTGTGTATTTTTCTACATCATGCAAACTCAGCCAAGACAATATTGCCCCCAAGGGGGTGAAAATTGGTTCTTGTTGGGGGGATCTTACTCTTCCAATGTATAAAGCACAGATATACATAGAGTACATAAACAGGTATGCAATATATCTTAGCTATTAAAATTTCATGGGGAGGATTAGGAAAAAGTCTAGAAAGGCTCTTTGGGAGGTGATAATGAAAAAAAGGTTGACACACATTATTCTACATTTTACTATTTTCTCTTAATTTTGTGTCTGTGAGGGGTGTCCATGTTGATATATGTAACTCCAGGTCATTCCTTTTCCACTATGCAGAGCATTCCAGTGCAAACATATACCAGGAATTATTTCTCCATTCTGCTGTGGATGGCACTGTCGGTTGGTTCTGTAACTGAGCATTCTCCAGCGTGTCTCCTTGTACACACATAAGTGAGTTCCCCTGGGATGTACATCCAGCAGTGGCATTTCTGGGCCCTGAGTAGCTGCACAATCAGCCTTACTAAATGTTGGTCAGACAGTCACAGAACCTGCCCAGACCCAAGGGAAGAGACACAAACCCCACCTCCTGAAACTAGTTTCAAAAAATTTGCAGGTATCTTTAATTTATTCCAGGGCTGGGGTGGGGTGGGGCACGGGGAAGACTTTCTCTCCACCTCCTCACTGTCCCACAGCACGGAATAAAAGAAAAATCACTCCTTCTCTCAACCCTATCTTCGCCCAGTCACCTATTTATGTAGACATTGTATATGTATGTTTGTATGCATGTCCTTAATAGTGGTTTCTGTGTATAGAGAAGAATATTCTGTGTGTGTGTGTGTGTCTGTTTTGAAAATCAACATTCGATTTATTAAAGTTACAAATTCAAAAATCTAATTATTTAAGTTTTTAAAGGCTTAAAATTGTGTTCTATGTATAAGGTACTAAAACTTAGGAATAACCTTTTAAAAGCCCTTGAAGAGTGTTGGTTCCATGTAAAACTTAAATGAATGCTTTTAAGCATTTTAAACTAAATTTATAAATTTATAGATTAAATTTCTTCCTCTTTTTGAAAACTACAATTGTCTGGTTTTGCAAACCTTTCAAGTACTTAAGTCATGCTTACAAATCTAATAAATTAAGCTTATAAACAGAATACTTAAGCACATTAAATATTCTAAATCAGCTTATAAACTTATTAAGATTTCAATTTAATATCACAAATCTAAATTAATTACTCAATGACATAGTTTAAAATTGGAATTAAAAGGCTGACCCAACACTCTAGAGAGATTAAATTTTTTTAAACATTAAAAATACTTTAAATTCTAAATATGTAATAATGCTTTAAGACAAAAATATGATAATATTACTATTCCGATTATCTGAAACACTTCTATCCTCAATCCTAAATTCTCCTGGAGTTAGAGGCTACTAATCCACTAAAGAAGTTTATGTCACTCCACACAATTTGGAGATTCACTTCCCATGTAATTTTTGGGATTGGCCAGGACATTACTGATTTTTTTACTGTGATGCTGATGGGACTAACCAGGCCATATTTATTCTAACAGCAACTTCAAAACTTTCAAATGGACTGGCACATCCTATTCTTCTGATATAAGTCAAATTTTCAAGCCAGATTAGATTTTGTCACCCCCACTGAGGTAATTTACCTCACTTGATTTAATTTTGCACATCTTTGGCTCATGAGATAAATGCATACACTTTCCCTCTAACTCAGAAAACCTTCGAACTTGATTCTGTTCATGTAATTCTCATCTCCTAGGACCATACTCCTTTGCAGAAATTGAAAACTCAGCTTGATGAACTCTAGATCTCTCATGAGGTTATCTGACCATTTGGTCACAGGCCCCAAGATCACTCTACAAAGGCAGAGCCAAGCTCCTCTGGGCCCATGTATGGGGCCTCCCAGATGGGGCAGAAGAATGACCCCAGTCCTTATGCAGTGGTAATGGTTTCTAGACACACACTGCAGCTCACTGCCCCCACCCTTCCTTCCTCAACAAAGGTATAGGGAAAAGACTATACTAATTGTCCAAAGTGTTTCAGAAGTGTACGGTTTTCCCTGAAATCTCCACGACCACTTTCTTTGAAAATCAGTTTTACAAAATGAGTTAACTTTTTTCTGGCTAAGCAACAAACAGAACACTGACATCTAGGGGGTGGGGGGAGTAATTTACTGAATTTATATCATGTACCCAGCTCTATGCTTTAGACACATCCTCTCAACTTTACATTTACACTAGCCCTATTAGGTAGATACTCTCCCACTTTTACAGAAGAATAAAACTGAAGCATGGAGAGGTATATCATGTGAAAATAGGTCCAGCAAATCTTATAATTGATGACTAAAATGAAACAGATTTTATCTAGGTAAGGCACATTTCATCAAACTGAACAATTTTTAAGGTTTTCAATGTTTTATCTTACCCTTTAAAGCAGGATTCGCCCATTCAGATGGGTGAATTTTATGGTATGCAAATTATACTCCAATAAACCTTTTTTTTTAATCAAGTAGTTAACTTCTGGTTTTTAGATGGCATAAGCACGTGCACTGGCCACTAACAATTCTTCTTACCTAGAATGAGCCACCTCTTGTCTTTTTATAAAGCTCTTCTTCAAATATATTTATGATCTGTTTCTCTCAGGATCATCAGAAAAAGCAACAGAAAACCTACTGATGAACTAGACAACTCTGCATGCAAAAGATGTGGCCTGGTAGTTCCTTGTTGATACTTTTTCTTAAATGTACTCCTTTGGCTAAACAGAGACAGCCAAAGCCGTATGGCGAGATAGAAACAGTTCTGAAGGATTCTTCATCAGCTCACTTATGGAAGGGAAAATTCATGCTTATGACTTGATGTCTATGACCTCAGCAGTAAATATCTGTCACCAAACCACATGGGCATATTTGATCTTTTTGAAGCAATTAAATACGAATCTTTGTTTTCATTTATAAATCCCAGTGCATGATAACTAAGAGTCACAGCGTGGAGCTACTTTCACTTTATTTTAACATCTGCTTGACTGAGTAACAAATGTAAAAAATATGTAGTTTAGCATAGGAGGTATTCCCTTTATCCTTATAGAACTCTAAAAGATACATAGAAAGGTTTTAGTCTCCTCAGGGTATAGCTCAATTGGTGGCAATTAATGAGCATAGAACATTCAGCTGCTTCCTTCAAGGGTATTACTAGCTGGATCAAGGAAAAGGAGTAGCTTTTTCTGACTTTTCCAAGTTAGAGTTGTATAAAAGCTCCTTGAAGAGTGAGTGTGTCTCATCAGTGGAAAATGCCAGAAAAGAAGCATCAGGCAACCTCAAGAATATTGTCAGTCTCGGGCCTCTCCTACAAACTCACCAGGGTAAGGTAAAGCTTCAAAAGAAAAGGAACAGAGAATCTCAAAAATCATTTCCCCTGGGCAGAAAGCAGTGGTTTTCTGTCGCATCAGATGCTGGTCACTTCCCAGTGAGCCCTTATCAGGCTGTTAAAACAAAATGAAAGAAAACAGTCTCATCTTTGTAATTAATGTGCTTGTTTCCTTACTTAATCTGCACTGCCCAGGCAGTTAATCTTTGCACGATATCCTTTTGTCTTCTCATGTAATTAAAATCTCCCTTCTATGTTTAAAGGCTCAGGGCGCCACATGCTGACTAGGAGAGCAAGCATCAAGGCTTGTGGAAGATGAAAAATGATAGAGGGCAGAAAAGAAGTGGGGAGAGAAAAAAGGAAATGAAGGGATGATGAGGCTGAGGAGGTGACAAGGGAGGGAAAGGAGAAAAGTTGGACTTTAATAAAAGATACAACATCAATATTCTCCCTGATGGACCATGTATTGGAAGCCAACCCAGAAGAGATTTTAAGAAAAGCGTTACCCCGGCCTATAGGTGACCACTGGGTGGGTGTGCCTACCACCGTGCAGAATCCAAATAGGTTTCTTTTCAAGCAAATATTCAAGTTTCACAACAGAAAGTTGAAGTTACCCCTGTCTCTGCTTATTTCAAAGCATCTGAATCCAACTACATTGATAACATGGAATCTCTGCATGCTGACTGCTTGCCAAAGAGGATAGCTACACTGCTATGGTTTGAATGTGTTCCCTCCAAAATCCAGGCGTTGCCAATGTGATGGTATTAAGAGGTGGGGTCTCTAAAGAGGTGATTATGCACTGAGGGCTCCTTCCTCATGAATGGAATTAAAGCCCTTATAAAAGAGGCAATGTTTGGTTGGCTTGCCCTTCTATGTGAGGATCATGAGAGGACACAGCATTTCTCCCTTCCAGAGGATACAGTGACAAGGCGCCATTTTGGAAGCAGAGAGCAGCCCTCACCAGACAAGTGAACCAGTCAGTGCCTTCATCTTGGACTTCCCAGCCTCCAGAACTGTGAGGAAATAAATATCAGTTCTTTGTAAATTACCCAGTCTCAGTTATTTTGTTATAGCAGTACAAATGGACTAACACAACCATTCACTTAGCAAAAGTGAAATTTTAAAAAATAGTATTTATAGATCATTGCCAGCATGCTCTGCTGTTTATTTTACTGCATGTACCCTAAATTTTGTTCTTGGAGAAACCAGATCAGACTTGTGCTCTGCATCCATTTTATTTTGGCTCTTCCTAGTCTTAGATATACAAAAACTGAACAGAGTTTTGGTATAAGCCATCAAGCAAAGTCAAAGGAGTTGATAAAAAGTGGCCCAGATTGCTTTAGTGGTGGCTCAAGTTGTGATTATGGACCCAACTCTCTTAGCGTGCTGGATGCTATAGCATGCATTTGTATACTAAAGTCATCCATAGTTTCATGTCATTTTTTTCTACCAATAATTCCTTTTACCATAATATTTCTATAAATCTTAGTGCTTACTTTCTTGAAACAAATGAGGTACATATGCATTGTAGAAAGTATAGAGAATACAGAAGAGAAAGAAGAAAAATTATCACCCTCCTTCTCTCTCCCTTCATTCCTCACCCCTCAATACCTCAGTTAACATTTTGGAGTCGGGGAGGAGCCAAGATGGCCGAATAGGAACAGCTCCAGTCTACAGCTCCCAGCGTGAGCGACGCAGAAGACGGGTGATTTCTGCATTTCCATCTGAGGTACCGGATTCATCTCACTAGGGAGTGCCAGACAGTGGGCGCAGGTCAGTGGGTGCGTGCACCGTGCGCGAGCCGAAGCAGGGTGAGGCATTGCCTCACTCGGGAAGCGCAAGGGGTCAGGGAGTTCCCTTTCCTAGTCAAAGAAAGGGGTGACGGACGGCACCTGGAAAATCGGGTCACTCCCACCTGAATACTGCGCTTTTCCGACGGGCTTAAAAAACAGCGCACCACGAGATTATATCCCGCACCTGGCTCGGAGGGTCCTACGCCCATGGAGACTCGCTGATTGCTAGCACAGCAGTCTGACATCAAACTGCAAGGCAGCAGCGAGGCTGGGGGAGGGGCGCCCGCCATTGCCCAGGCTTGCTTAGGTAAACAAAGCAGCTGGGAAGCTCGAACTGGGTGGAGCCCACCACAGCTAAAGGAGGCCTGCCTGCCTCTGTAGGCTCCACCTCTGGGGGCAGGGCACAGACAAACAAAAAGACAGCAGTAACCTCTGCAGACTTAAATGTCCCTGTCTGACAGCTTTGAAGAGAGCAGTGGTTCTCGCAGTATGCAGCTGGAGATCTGAGAACAGGCAGACTGCCTCCTCAAGTGGGTCCCTGACCCCTGATCCCTGAGCAGCCTAACTGGGAGGCACCCCCCAGCAGGGGCAGACTGACACCTCACACGGCAGGGTACTCCAACAGACCTGCAGCTGAGGGTCCTGTCTGTTAGAAGGAAAACTAACAAACAGAAAGGACATCCACACCAAAAAACCATCTGTACATCACCATCATCAAAGACCAAAAGTAGATAAAACCACAAAGATGGGGAAAAAACAGAACAGAAAAACTGGAAACTCTAAAAAGCAGAACGCTTCTCCTCCTCCAAAGGAACGCAGTTCCTCACCAGCAGTGGAACAAAGCTGGACGGAGAATGACTTTGACGAGCTGAGAGAAGAAGGCTTCAGACGATCAAATTACTCCGAGCTACGGGAGGACATTCAAACCAAAGGCAAAGAAGTTGAAAACTTTGAAAAAAATTTAGAAGAATGTATAACTAGAATAACCAATACAGAGAAGTGCTTAAAGGAGCTGATGGAGCTGAAAACCAAGGCTCGAGAACTACATGAAGAATGCAGAAGCCTCAGGAGCCGATGCGATCAACTGGAAGAAAGGGTATCAGCGATGGAAGATGAAATGAATGAAATGAAGCGAGAAGGGAAGTTTAGAGAAAAAAGAATAAAAAGAAAGG
The DNA here is from genome assembly GCF_000001405.40 of Homo sapiens. NCBI lineage: Eukaryota > Metazoa > Chordata > Mammalia > Primates > Hominidae > Homo > Homo sapiens. The sequence goes on along the minus strand of NC_000023.11, from coordinate 14,108,642 downwards.
AGCAAAGCCTCCAAGAAATATGGGACTATGTGAAAAGACCAAATCTACATCTGATTGGTGTACCTGAAAGTGACAGGGAGAATGGAACCAAGTTGGAAAACACTCTGCAGGATATTATCCAGGAGAACTTCCCCAACCTAGCAAGGCAGGCCAACGTTCAGATTCAGGAAATACAGAGAACACCACAAAGATACTCCTCGAGAAGAGCAACTCCAAGACACATAGTTGTCAGATTCAACAAAGTTGAAATGAAGGAAAAAATGTTAAGGGCAGCCAGAGAGAAAGGTCGGGTTACCCTCAAAGGGAGGCCCATCAGACTAACAGCGGATCTCTCGGCAGAAACCCTACAAGCCAGAAGAGAGTGGGGGCCAATATTCAACATTCTTAAAGAAAAGAATTTTCAACCCAGAATTTCATATCCAGCCAAACTAAGCTTCATAAGTGAAGGAGAAATAAAATACTTTACAGACAAGCAAATGCTGAGAGATTTTGTCACCACCAGGCCTGCCCTAAAAGAGCTCCTGAAGGAAGCACTAAACATGGAAAGGAACAACCGGTACCAGCCGCTGCAAAATCATGCCAAAATGTAAAGACCATCGAGACTAGGAAGAAACTGCATCAACTAGCGAACAAAATAACCAGCTAACATCATAATGACAGGATCAAACTCACACATAACAATATTAACTTTAAATGTAAATGGACTAAATTCTCCAATTAAAAGACACAGACTGGCAAATTGGATAAAGAGTCAAGACCCATCAGTGTGCTGTATTCAGGAAACCCATCTCACGTGCAGAGACACACATAGGCTCAAAATAAAAGGATGGAGGAAGATCTACCAAGCAAATGGAAAACAAAAAAAGGCAGGGGTTGCAATCCTAGTCTCTGATAAAACAGACTTTAAACCAAGAAAGATCAAAAGAGACAAAGAAGGCCATTACATAATGGTAAAGGGATCAATTCAACAAGAAGAGCTAACTATCCTAAATATATATGCACCCAATACAGGAGCACCCAGATTCATAAAGCAAGTCCTGAGTGACCTACAAAGAGACTTAGACTCCCACACATTAATAATGGGAGACTTTAACACCCCACTGTCAACATTAGACAGATCAATGAGACAGAAAGTCAACAAGGATACCCAGGAATTGAACTCAGCTCTGCACCAAGCAGACCTAATAGACATCTACAGAACTCTCCACCCCAAATCAACAGAATATACATTTTTTTCAGCACCACACCACACCTATTCCAAAATTGACCACATACTTGGAAGTAAAGCTCTCCTCAGCAAATGTAAAAGAACAGAAATTATAACAAACTATCTCTCAGACCACAGTGCAATCAAACTATAACTCAGGATTAAGAATCTCACTCACAACCGCTCAACTACATGGAAACTGAACAACCTGCTCCTGAATGACTACTGGGTACATAACGAAATGAAGGCAGAAATAAAGATGTTATTTGAAACCAACGAGAACAAAGACACAACATACCAGAATCTCTGGGACGCATTCAAAGCAGTGTGTAGAGGGAAATTTATAGCACTAAACGCCCACAAGAGAAAGCAGGAAAGATCCAAAATGGACACCCTAACATCACAATTAAAAGAACTAGAAAAGCAAGAGCAAACACATTCAAAAGCTAGCAGAAGGCAAGAAATAACTAAAATCAGAGCAGAACTGAAGGAAATAGAGACACAAAAAACCCTTCAAAAAATTAATGAATCCAGGAGCTGGTTTTTTGAAAGGATCAACAAAATAGATAGACCACTAGCAAGACTAATAAAGAAAAAAAGAGAGAAGAATCAAATAGACGCAATAAAAAATGATAAAGGGTATATCACCACTGATCCCACAGAAATACAAACTACCATCAGAGAATACTACAAACAACTCTACTCAAATAAACTAGAAAATCTAGAAGAAATGGATAAATTCCTCAACACACACACTCTCCCAAGACTAAACCAGGAAGAAGTTGAATCTCTGAATAGACCAATAACAGGATCTGAAATTGTGGCAATAATCAATAGCTTACCAACCAAAAAGAGTCCAGGACCAGATGGATTCACAGCCGAATTCTACCAGAGGTACAAGGAGGAACTGGTACCATTCCTTCTGAAACTATTCCAATCAATAGAAAAAGAGGGAATCCTCCCTAACTCATTTTATGAGGCCAGCATCATTCTGATACCAAAGCCTGGCAGAGACACAACAAAAAAAGAGAATTTTAGGCCAATATCCTTGATGAACATTGATGCAAAAATCCTCAATAAAATACTGGCAAAACGAATCCAGCAGCACATCAAAAAGCTTATCCACCATGATCAAGTGGGCTTCATCCCTGGGATGCAAGGCTGGTTCAATATACGCAAATCAATAAATGTAATCCAGCATATAAACAGAGCCAAAGACAAAAACCACATGATTATCTCAATAGATGCAGAAAAGGTCTTTGACAAAATTCAACAACCCTTCATGCTAAAAACTCTCAATAAATTAGGTATTGATGGGACGTATTTCAAAATAATAAGAGCTATCTATGACAAACCCACAGCCAATATCATACTGAATGGGCAAAAACTGGAAGCATTCCCTTTGAAAACTGGCACAAGACAGGGATGCCCTCTCTCACCACTCCTATTCAACATAGTGTTGGAAGTTCTGGCCAGGGCAATTAGGCAGGAGAAGGAAATAAAGGGTATTCAATTAGGAAAAGAGGAAGTCAAATTGTCCCTGTTTGCAGACGACATGATTGTACATCTAGAAAACCCCCTTGTCTCAGCCCAAAATCTCCTTAAGCTGATAAGCAACCTCAGCAAAGTCTCAGGATACAAAATCAATGTACAAAAATCACAAGCATTCTTATACACCAACAACAGACAAACAGAGAGCCAAATCATGAGTGAACTCCCATTCACAATTGCTTCAAAGAGAATAAAATACCTAGGAATTCAACTTACAAGGGATGTGAAGGACCTCTTCAAGGAGAACTACAAACCACTGCTCAATGAAATAAAAGAGGACACAAACAAATGGAAGAACATTCCATGCTCATGGGTAGGAAGCATCAATATCGTGAAAATGGCCATACTGCCCAAGGTAATTTACAGATTCAATGCCATCTCCATCAAGCTACCAATGCCTTTCTTCACAGAATTGGAAAAAACTACTTTAAAGTTCATATGGAACCAAAAAAGAGCCCACATCGCCAAGTCAATCCTAAGCCAAAAGAACAAAGCTGGAGGCATCACACTACCTGACTTCAAACTATACTACAAGGCTACACTAACCAAAACAGCATGGTACTGGTACCAAAACAGAGATATAGATCAACGGAACTGAACAGAGCCCTCAGAAATAATGCCGCATATCTACAACTATCTGATCTTTGACAAACCTGAGAAAAACAAGCAATGGGGAAAGGATTCCCTATTTAATAAATGGTGCTGGGAAAACTGGCTAGCCATATGTAGAAAGCTGAAACTGGATCCCTTCCTTACACCTTATACAAAAATCAATTCAAGATGGATTAAAGACTTAAACATTAGACCTAAAACCATAAAAACCCTAGAAGAAAACCTAGGCAATACCATTCAGGACATAGGCATAGGCAAGGACTTCATGTCTAAAACACCAAAAGCAATGGCAACAAAAGACAAAATTGACAAATGGGATCTAATTAAACTAAAGAGCTTCTGTACAGCAAAAGAAACTACCATCAGAGTGAACAGGCAACCTACAAAATGGGAGAAAATTTTTGCAACCTACTCATCTGACAAAGGGCTAATATCCAGAATCTACAATGAACTCAAACAAATTTACAAGAAAAAAACAAACAACCCCATCAAAAAGTGGGCAAAGGACATGAACAGACACTTCTCAAAAGAAGACATTTATGCAGCCAAAAAACACATGAAAAAATGCTCATCATCACTGGCCATCAGAGAAATGCAAATCAAAACCACAATGAGATACCATCTCATACCAGTTAGAATGGCAATCATTAAAAAGTCAGGAAACAACAGGTGCTGGAGAGGATGTGGAGAAATAGGAACACTTTTACACTGTTGGTGGGACGGTAAACTAGTTCAACCATTGTGGAAGTCAGTGTGGTGATGCCTCAGGGATCTAGAACTAGAAATACCATTTGACCCAGCCGTCCCATTACTGGGTATATACCCAAAGGACTATAAATCATGCTGCTATAAAGACACATGCACACGTATGTTTATTGCGGCACTATTCACAATAGCAAAGACTTGGAACCAACCCAAATGTCCAACAATGATAGACTGGATTAAGAAATGTGGCACATATACACCATGGAATACTATGCAGCCATAAAAATGATGAGTTCATGTCCTTTGTAGGGACATGGATGAAATTGGAAATCATCATTCTCAGTAAACTATCGCAAGAACAAAAAACCAAACACCGCATATTCTCCCTCATAGGTGGGAGTTGAACAATGAGATCACATGGACACAGGAAGGGGAACATCACACTCTGGGGACTGTTGTGGGGTGGGGGGAGGGGGGAGGGATAGCACTGGGAGATATACCTAATGCTAGATGATGAGTTAGTGGGTGCAGCGCACCAGCATGGCACATGTATACATATGTAACTAACCTGCACGTTGTGCACATGTACCCTAAAACTTAAAGTATAATAATAAAAGAAAAAACAAACAAACAAACCAAAAAAAAAAAATTTTGGAGTAAATTGTTTCCTTCTTTCTTCAATGCATATGCATATATAAAGTTCTTTTACAAAATATGATTAAGTCATAATACTGTTTTATAAGCTACTTTTGAATACTTTCCCATGTCATTATGTATTTTCATATAGCATTATATTTAGTAGTTGCATAGTATTTTATTATTTATCGAATCAATCATCTTTTGCTGGATATTTCAATGGTTCCCAAGTTTTCACAAAAAAGGTACTACAGTGAACACCCTTGTAGCTATTTCTTCATATATGTTCAAATTCATTTGCTTCCTCTTTCGTAATAAAAATAGAATTGCAGACCCCAAAAGGATGCAAAATTTTAAAGCTTTTGATATTTTTGCCAAATTATTCTCTGAAAGGGTTATATCAATTTATGTATCAATTGACAGTATACAAAAGTATCTGTTTCTTAACCTTTGGCCACACTACATACTTTCTTGTTTGCTAAGCAAAAATCCATTTCAAAGTTATTGGATTTTTCATCTCTTTGGTAATTGGTAGGAATGAAGTATTTTTTCATTTTCAATTTTATATTATATATTTTTCCTATTACTTACCTGCTGTTACTATCCTTTGTTCATATTTTTCCATTGAAATGTTCCTCTTTTTCTTATTGATTTACAACAGCTCTTTATATGCTAAGAATCACAATCTTTGTCTGGCATACACATTACAAACATTTTTCCAGTTTGTCATTGTTAAAGTCAGATTTTGACAGACAGACCTTTAATTTTTTTTACTCAAATCATCAATTGTTTATTATTTCTAGCTTTTGTGTGATGCTTATATAGTTGGAACTTGAATAAGAGTTTTTCTGTGGCCAGAAATCAACACTGGAGCCAAAATGCTAACTACTCCCTATTCTAAAGAGAGCCACAAATACTTAGAACCAGACACCTCCCCACAGAGCTTCCTAAAATGGAGCTGAACTGCTTTTGCTGCCCTCTGTCTTCAATTCCTCTCCCACTGTCCCTTACAATGGGAGAAGATTGCGGAAGGGTGGGGGATGGGAGGGCAGGTGGTAACTGAGTCAGAGCACACAATAGCTTTTTCCTCACTTCCTCCATGGAGATCCTCACCAATTCTGAATCTAAATGAGAGACAGGCACAAAGAGGACCACTGGTTGCATGTGCGTACAAGAAGAATGCAAGGAGAAGAGACTGGCATCTGAATATTGGCTGGACATGTGCTCAGGCAGATGTGCTTTTCTATCTTTGGTTTACCCAAGCAGGGGAGAGAAAACAGGAGGGAGATGCCAGGAAGCAGGCAAGGGGCTAGCTAGCCCCCTTGCTGCCCTCCATTTTGGTGGTCAAGTGAATATGGCCAACCCCAGAAGGCAAGAGGGAAGCCAGCAGCAAGTTGCTGTATCTAAAAGGAAAAATGCAAGAGAATGTGCTGGGTTCAGATTGCCACATCAGAGAACTGTGCAGTGAAGTTCACATCAGTGAACTGCACATCAGGGAACTGTACAGTGCCCATGAAAGAACCCATTGGTGCCCCATGTAGAGAGCCCAACCATTGGGATGTATGTCACACAGATGACCCAGAAGGAGAGTCAGTGTTGGCCAAAAAACAAGCAAAACCATGAGAAATAACAATTGAAAACAGTTAGGCAAAGAGACTTTGTCTCTTTCCTTTTCCATCTTCGTTGATGTAACAGGCCAGAGGGGTCATGGGAAAGGGAGACAAGGCGTCCCAAAGAAGAAAATCTTCTCTGATCTTGTTTTCCATGTTTCACATTAGCGCCACTCTAAGACAAGGCATCTGTTGTTGGGGAGATATGATATTGCTAACAGGCTAACTCATTCTAAAGGATTAAAATCCAGTTAATACATCATGAACATTTTCTTGAGGAAGGGGAGGAACCTGAAAAAATGGACACAGGCCAGGTATGTTTTGATGAGGAAAAGAAATCCAACTAAACCTGATCATTTTCCAAGAAAGGGAGGCAGACGGGAGCCCTAAGACAAATGTGCCCTGCCTCCTAATTCTGGCTACTGCTAACCCTGGTAAAAATGGCTGTCCACAGGACACAAAAGTCAGGTTTGACTTTATGGGTTGTGAGATTGGGCACGTGGTGTTTTTTACTGAACTGTTTATTCAGGGAATTCGCTTTAAATGTAACCCACAGAGCACCTGCAATTGCCTGGGGTCTCTGTGCTAAGCTGGCTGATGATGCCTAACCCACGCCATGGAAGCAAAAGGGAATGTTCTTCAAACAAAACAGAATTTTATCAGAAAACAGTAAACAAAAGACAACAAAAGTGTTGGCTCTCATCGCTCCACTTCTCCAAAGGCTGTTAACCCTGAGATACAAGAGTGATGTGGACGCTCAAACTCCAAGTACAAAGCAACTTTAGTCTGCTTTTTTCTGCAGCATCAAAGGAACTTTTTCCCTGTGCCCTCCATGTGCATAATGGGTAGCAATACCATCCTTTGAACCCCTAGAAGTTATCATAGTATCTTCCTCATAGGTTTGTTGGAGGGTTACACAAAGCATTTTACATGTTTGGCACAGCACCTGGTATATAATACGTCCTCAATAAATATTATTATAGTATCATTAGCTCTGCTCCTGTTCCTTTAAGAATGACCTTCCATCAATACAAACTAGAATAATCAATGACCCTCCAGTGCTTTAAATAATGTCAAAACTATGTCCTTTGCAGCAACATGGATGCTGCTGGAAGCCCTTATCCTAAGTGAATTAACACGGGAACAGAAAAACAAATATATCATGTTCTCACTTATAAGTGGGAGCTAAACATTAAAGACATACAGACACAAAGATAGGAACAATATACATCACAGCTTACTTGAAGGTAGAGAGTGGGAGGAGGGTAAGGACCTATCAGGTACTATACTCACTACCGGGGTGATGAAATCATTTGGTATACAAACCCCAGTGACACACAATTTACCCATGTAACAAACCTGCACATGTACCCCCTAAGCCTAAAATAAAAGTTGGAAGAAAAAAAATAAAGTGAAAATAATGCTGGGCCTTGTTAGGAGGACATGGTGAACTCCTTGTGATCTATTTCCATCCATGTGTTGAACCTCATCTCTTGTCACTTCTCACCTCAGATTCTAGTTCTATCCAGGTTGAATAACTTGCACCTAATTGAGAGGGCCATGCTTCTGAGCACCAACAGGCCTTTGTATATTCTACTTTCTCTGCATGCCACTCCTCCCTATGGAACCCTTCCCTTTTCAAATTCTTGTTCCCTTGCAATTTCCTGCCCTCCCTGCCACCATCAACTGCCATCGGCAGACAAGGGTCAGATGGTGTTACAATGTGATCCTCCAGCACCCCGTGTTTATGACTGACCTGACACTTCTTTACCTGTTGTCCTCAGCTTTTCACTTGCCTATGTTTTCTAGCCAGCTACTTCCTAAACTTTAATGAACACAAAGATCACCTGGGCTTCTGGTTGAAATGAAAATCCTGGGCCAGGCACAGTGGCTCATGCCTGCAATTGCAACACTTTGGGAGGCCGAAGGAGGAAGATCACTTAAGCCCAGAAGTTTGAGACCAGCCTGGGAAACATAGCAAAACTCCATCTCTACAAAAAAGAATAATAATTAGCCAGGCATGGTGGCATGCACCCTTTAGTCCCAGATACTCAGGAGGCTGAGGCAGGAGGACTGCTTGAGCCCAGGTTTTTGAGGCTGCAGTGAGCTGTGATCATGCCACTGCACTCAAGACTGGGTGACAGGGCGAGACCCTGTCTCAAAAAAAAAAAAATCCTGATTCAGTACATCTGGGTGGGGCCTACAAGCCTACAGTTCCAACAACCTCCCAGATGACATTGATGCTGCATTGATGATCACACTTTGAGTACCCAGGTGCTAGACAGTGAGCGCCTTGATGTCAGTGAGCTCCTTGACGACAGGAATCCTGCAACCTGAAGTCTTTATATCCCCAACACCCAGCCCATTCTCCAATAGGTAAAATCTTCTTGCTGAATGTGAGTAAAATGAGTATATGATTGAATGAACACACCGGGATGCTCTGTCCCAATTACCTCACTTCTGCAACAGCTGAAGACTTTTGCCTCAGCTTCCTGTACTTGCCCAGGACTATGTTATAAAAAACATTTACTGCTATTGTGCAGCTCACTTCATATCTCATTCTCTTGTTCCAACATGTGATTCCCCTTCTCCAATTACTATCAGTGAGAAGATGAGAGACAGGACAAACTGGGATAGACAAGCAAAAGAAAGAGACATGGAGGAGAAAAGGAAGAGCAGGTGGGGAGTATAGATAAAAGGAGAGGAATAGAGAACGTTGGAGGAAGGAAAAATAGCCACTTCCTCCCCTCATATAATTTCAGCTCACACACTCATTATCTTTACACACCTGGACTCCCTCTCACATACCTTCTCCATATGCTGACCTTGACTTTCTTCATTTCTTCATTTATCCATTCATCACGTCTATCTTGCATCAGCCACTGAGCCAGGAATATATTCATAGGCAAAAACTAATGTAAACTTGGAGTTTACAACCCAGAGAGTAAGTAGAGAAAAACACTAATGAAATAAACAGCCAATGTAAAATTACAACAATGTTAAAAGCAAAGGAAGAATATGGAGAAAGAGTCAGAGAAGGTTTCTCCGGGAAATAGATGGTTGAGCTGAGAGCTGATGGGGAGCAGCAACTAAGCAGGTGAGGAAGGGAATGGAGTTTCATGGGCAGATGGCACCATATGTATTAAGGCACTGTGGCTAGGGTGAGCATGGCACATTAAAGAAACAAAAAGGCCAGAGAGTGTGGGGTCCTGGAAAAGAGGACTGGCCAGACAAGAAACTGTGTAATAACCAGCCTCCAAGATGGCAATCAATGATCCCTACCTCCTGGTATTCACACCCTTGTGTAGTCCCCTCCCAATTGTACCAGGGTCAGTCTGTGTGACCAACAGCATACAACAGAATTGATGGTGTGGCACTCTCGAGATTAGGTTATAACAACTATGGCATCTATCTTGGCCACTTTCTCACTTTCCTCTCTTTTACAACACTCACTCAGAAAAGCAAGCTGCCATGTTTTGAACAGCCCTAAGTAGAGGTCCACATAATCAACAGTCAGCAAGGAACTACATGAGTAAGCATAGAAGCAGATTCTACAGCCCCAGTCAAACCTTGAGAAGAAAGCAGCCCTGGCCAATAGCTTAACTGCAATCTTGTGAGAGACTCTAAGCCAGATCCACCCAGCTAAGCCACAACTGGATTCCTAATATTCAGAACCATGTGAAAGAACAAATGTCTGTTGTTTTCAGCTGCTAAGTTTCAGGATCATTTGTTACACAGCAATAGATAACTAATGCAATAAACCATGAAGTACCTCTTTAGCATGTTAAAGAGTGCAGGCCAGGCACGGTGGCTCATGCCTATAATCCCTGCACTTTGGGAGGCCAAGACAGGTGGATCACGAGGTCAGGAGTTCGAGACCAGTGTTGCCAATACGGCGAAACCCCGTCTCTACTAAAAATACAAAAAAAAAAAAAATTAGCCAGGCATGGTGGCATGCCCCTGTAGTTCCAGATACTGAAGAGGCTGAGGCAGAAGAATCGCTTGAACCTGGGAGGCAGAGGTTGCAGTGAGCCGAGATCACGCCACTGCACTCCAGCCTGGGTGACAGAGCAAGACTCTGTCTCAAAAAAAAAAAAAAAATGTGCGGGCCCTTGTTAACTTTTTTCCATGAGGAAAAAACAGGATATGGCAGTTAGTATCACTTCAGAAAACAGAGCGAAGCTCCTGGAAGTTCTGGGGGAAGTGGCAAGCCTATTGTGAATACAGAGTTAACAGTAGGGCCCCTTCATTTGTTCCCTGCAGTTCGTCATCATCCATCAATCTAGGTAGAATCCAGGTACCATGGGCTCAAACAAGTTACAATAAAATATGTCTTTCAAAAGTTTAATATCTTTTAGTGGTTTTTAAAACTTACTTTAGTAGTTAATCATAAGACCCTAAGTTATAGTATTGAAATTTAAGCAAACAAAAGGATAGACTGTTGCAGTTGTTCTACACACATTGGTGTGTGGGAAAGGACTGCTAGCTAGGGGTAATGCCTGCAGATCCCTCAAGGCAGAGGGAGTACACCTGTAGCACCTAAAAGGAAGGGCACCAAGCGACTCAGTAGAATGGCACTCTCTCACCTCACTAAGGGTTGTCACTTGCAAAGCCTGGAGCTGAATGTCTGGATTTTAAGGAAAAACTTTAACAGCTTGGCATCATAACAGCTATGAATCCTTGAGGAATCTTCCACTTACTGAAGAGAAAGAGAGACCTTGAGGAGATAGCTCACTTTCAAACTGATCCCTTATTAAGTCTTATTAACTCAGATGTTAGAATATTCTTCAGCACCCCGCACCTTTTCGCAGGACTTTAGGCTCATTTTTCTGCCTTAGCGTTCACTTTGAAAATGAACTATCTCCTCAAGGTCTCTGTTTCTTTTCAGTAAGTGGGAGATTCCTGGGAGTTGAACAATGAGAACACATGGACACAGGGAGGGGAACATCACACACCGGGGCCTGTCGGGGGGTGGGGGGCTAGGGGAGGGATAGCATTAGGAGAAATACCTAATGTAGATGATGGGTTGACGGGTGCAGCAAACCACCGTGGCACGTGTATACCTATGTAACAAACCTGCACGTTCTGCACATGTATCCTGCCCCCCTCCAAAAAAAGGGAACCAGATTTATATGTGTTAACAAAGACACATTTCAAAATATGTACTTTTTAATATAAAATCAAACTGTATAACTATAAGAAAAAACTAAACCTATCTGTAAATCAAGTTGAATTCAGCTGTTTTGTGCAGAAAGTAAATTCCCTTACCTGTGACTAACGATTAAAAATCCTAATCACCGTGAACTTTGAAACATGCACTAGAAATTTTATCATAATGGAAGATTTTTATTAAACATTTGTATTAAATGTTTCTATTTTTATTAAATATTTCTACCTAAGAGTAAAATTAGTTTTCACTGGGGAGAAGAGCACCATAGGTATAAAGATACTCAAGACGCGTATATAAATCTTCTGACGCCAATAGTTCTGTTCAAACCCTCACTTCCAGGTCAAAAAGAAAACCACGGCCTTGATAAAGACCCCACTGGAAGACTTTTATAATAAATTAGCCAATGTATGGGGTATACTGCCTTCATTCCCAAATTCTTCTGTTTGGAAAAATAAATTCTATAACACTTCACTCATATGAGAAAGGAAATGGATGTGACAATTGTACAATTTTGAGAAATAGAAGCTCTTAAGAGTAGCTTTTTAGATATCCATTGAAATCATACCCAATTTTTAGGTCACATTTTTTTTCTGGCTCTGTCTCCTTTTCAAGTAAGAGTGATTGGGTTGAAGATGTGGCTTTGCAGAGTTTGACTGAAGCAAACCTGCTGTTTCTTTAGTCATGTGCCTATCCCGATCACCACCTTTCCCAGATCCTTATGCCTAAGGTGAGAACTCACATGGCCAGTGAAATTACAAGCTATAGTGGACCACTGGCGTTTCTACAACAGTCTCTGAGCAGAACCCTAGGGTCCTCAGCAAAGCAAGGTATCTCCTTAGCAGTGGTGGCTTTGAGAGGACAGGTCCCAGAGCATAGCAGACCAGACAAGGAAAGAGAAACAGGTCAAGCTTCTGCTGAAATGCTTGTGTTTATTTTTTCCTTAGAGGCTCAAGATTTTTAGTTTTCCATAATTAACCACGATACCGCTCCTCAAAGACGGAAAATGCCTAGGGAAATTGTACTTAGAAGGAAAAATCTGTAATGAATAAAATTTATTTTACATGGTAGATTACTGGGAAGCAAGAAAGTAAAAGGTACCGTTACTTCCGAGTTACAAGGAACGCAAAGATGTAGCACGTGACCTGTCCAGGGACATGCAGTGGTGCCTGTGCATGGTTTTCCAACTTGCAAGCCTAATGTTGTGATAGGTACAGTTGCTAAACAGTCTCTCGTGTTAACTGCTGACGTTCCAAATGAAGGCGGATGCAGGAAGGAATCAACCACGTTCTGCAGTGATCTCTGGCGGACATCTGCTGTCACTGCACCTCAATTATTCATGCGTACACTGGAGTGTACCAAGGGAAGAAGCATTCTGTGAAGACCAGAACTGGACGACGCCTTAAGATATGATCGAGTGTGAACCCCTCATTTTACAGAAGGAGAAAAATCAACTCTAGAAGAATGGGATGCTTCAGGGATGATTTAAAACCTTAAATAGCTTAGGTCTCTTTACCTCTTCAGGTGGCAAACTATCAAATAACAATAGGTGTACAGCTTCTACCTTAGGGACTTAACTATTTCCTCTAATCCTGCAAGGTGGATATTATTATTATTTTATTCCCCCAAATAAATTCACCTGGGTATAACAGTGAATAGGAATCTTTCTTCTACCCGGTCTCTCTCTGTCCCTTTTTTCTTTTCCCATTTATCTTTTCTCTGTACTTCTCAGGCATGCTAGAGGTATAAATGGCTATGCTGCTCAATCCATGTGACCAGATATTGGAAGGTGAGATCACTAGGCTCTGCTTCCCTGTAAGTGGTCTTTCCTGACATGGTGGCAAAGATGGCCTCTGGCAGTTTCAGATCTTTCTACCACTTTCATAAGCATAGTGGAGAAGAAAGCATTTTTCCTGAGCAATCCCCAGAGTCCTGCATAAGACTCTCCTAGTTCAGGCCTGGGCCATGTGACCACTCAGAATCAAGGCATGGGTCACCCTGTCTGGACCACATGGCTCCCCAACTGTATGCTGAGCAGGCGAATAAAAAATTACCTACTACATTCTGAGAAGTATAAAGGTGACTTCCACTCTGTTCTCCTAGGTGTTTTCAGGTCAAAATCCCTTCACGCTACAATTTAAAATTCCTCGGCCTTGGTGCCACCCTTCCAAGGAGGATCAGGTGTGCTCAACCATATCAGATAGCATCAAGGGCTAGAGAAAAAAATGGGCCAGGTATCTAAACCTTAAAGAATAACCAAGCAAAAATATTCATATAAATTAAAGTTTATATTTCTCACAGTACCTCTGAATCCACCAAATGGTCCGGATGTGGAGAAAGCTGGCTGGAGGGTCATAGGAAACAAGTGACATCATCACTAGTAGAAAACCTTTAGGCTGGTTCACACAAGAGACTTTTTCTCCTTTTCCACTCTGTGCCAAGTGTACTCTGTGAAAAGCAGTCACTAGCCCTTCAAGCCAAAACTCCAGCCACACACTGGCCTAAACACTGAAGAAATAAGGCAAACTCTGGCGAAGGACACAGACAAGGACACCTATTTTTAACATAGAGGCATGGAGGGTCACAAGAGCCTAGAAGAGGATGGGGTCGTGTCTGTCTAGAGATGACATCAACAAACATTTTCTCTAAAAGGCTGGATAGTAAATATTTTAGCCTTCAAGTGCCATATGGTCTCTGTCACTACTCAACTCTGTTGTAGTGAAAAAGCAGCCATAGACAATATGTAAACAAATGAGCATGGCTGTGTTTCAATAAAAGTTTGTCTGCAAAAACAGGTGATGGATCAGTTTTGGTTGATGAGCTGTGATTTGCAAACCTCTAGCCTAAGGGTGAGTTTATTTTACATTTGTGTTTCATATACGAAGACATTTTTGGATCTTTGACATATTATGACTCTTCATTTAAGCCATTCTATAATTATGGGGAGTAGACTTACTGCATGTAAGTTCTATTGTTTCCTGCAATATTTTCAAAAGAATGCCTCCCTCTGGCTGCCACAACTTCATTTATAACATGACTTTGCAATGTTGTGTTTACATGTTCCTGTCTATTGTGTGCCCCTTGAGGGAAGGCTGCATGCCTCACTCACGTTGTCTTGCACAGTGTCTGACCACTGCTCAAAAAAATGTTTCATGAATGAATAGATGGATGGATAAATGAATAAATCCTAGTCAAGCCTCATGAGATCATGAGATGAGGTCATCTGTTATAAACTTACAAAATTTTATTCAAAGCTAAACTAAAAATCATGGTCACTTTTAGGAAAACGTGCATTGTCCTAAAAAAACAAAGCCTGTAAATTGCCAAAACCATCCCATTTTACTAAGAGAAGGTGAGATATAAGAATGATATTTTTGTCTTTGGAGATAGAAGATATTTCGCTATCACAAAACTCCCAAACAGCTTTAAGCACCAACTGGAAAGTTAATTGGCTTAATTGAAGATTGAATGATCTCTTTACCTAGATTACAATGACCCTGCCCTTTATTTCTCCCCACTCCAATTCGTCCTTCCTACGAAAGAATGTCTCTCCTCTGCTTAAAGAGTTCTATGGGCTTTAAGCAGACAGGAGACAGGCAGCATGCCACATGCGGTTATTTGCAATCCTGGCTCCAACCTACTGCTCTATTTTATCTCCTTGCATTCATATCCAAAGAACAAGGACACTCCTCTCCCATAATATTGAGCTTTTCACCATTTCCGTACTACAGCGTGAGGCTCCACATGCTGGTGTATGGAATACTGCAGCAGAATCTGCTGTTCATTGACTCAATATCCCTTTCTTCCTTTTCTATGTTTATGGAACCCCGATTATGTTTTGGGTTGGAATGAGCCTAGCTAAGTCTACCTAGAACAAGGAAAAGGACAAGGTGTTAAACTCCTTGCTAATGACTAAATTTTGCTAATGAATAAATTTTGAGTAATACATAAAAAGTAAAAGAAACTATCTGTTTCTTACCCCTGACTCAGAAAACTGGTGTATTCCTCCTTTTAAATGCTGTTCAGTTTGGACGGGGCGCGGGGGGGGGTGATAGTAATGTTCATGACTTTAGCTGAGAAAAGGAATATTTTCTAGACTTTGTGTTGCCTGGAGGAATCCATTAAATTATTTAGAAGTATTTTTGCCCCATGAATTTCCCCTGCATTCCACTACAAATGGCATCACATTGAAGGGCTTAGATAAAATACTTCCTTTATCAAGAAAAGGTTGCTTGGCCAAGACACTCAGCAGGTAGAATCGCTGCTATCTGATTCTTTCATGTCCCCTACAGTTCAATTACATCAAGTTACCCGTAACTTCTAAAGTCACATTTTTTAAAAAAGATTGACTTTAGCATTTTTATCGAGTGGTTTCATGAACAGTAAGCATGCCATAAGAGTGAGTTCTACATTTCAAAACTCTAAAATGGATGGAGCAAGAATTTGGAAGGCAAAAACTCTAAAAGCACTTTATTCAATGAGGTAAAGGAATCCAGGCAGTTATTTCAAGGAAGCTGTTTTTCCACTTGAAAAGCAGAACTTACCCAAGCTCTCCAAAGCCAGGCTAAGCATTTTAAAAGTATCGTCACTTCATTTTAGAATAAGTGATAAATGATATAGTCATCCAAAGGTCTTGGGAAGAGTCAACTTTTTAAGGATGATAAATCTTCTGATGCTAACAGTTCTGTTCAAACCCTCACTTCCAGGTCAAAAAGAAAACCACCGACCTCGATAAAGACCCCACTGGAAGACTTTTATAATAAATTAGCTAATGTATGGGGTATACTGCCTTCATTCCCAAATTCTTCTGTTTGGAAAAATAAATTCTATAACACTTCACTCATATGAGAAAGGAAATGGATGTGACAATTGTACAATTTTGAGAAATAGAAGCTCTTAAGAGTAGCTTTTTAGATATCCATTGAAATCATACCCAATTTTTAGGTCACATTTTTTTTCTGGCTCTGTCTCCTTTTCAAGTAAGCGTGATTGGGTTGAAGATGTGGCTTTGCAGAGTTTGACTGAAGCAAACCTGCAGTTTCTTTAGTCACGTGCCTATCCCAATCAGCACTACCCCAAACTCTCAGGCATATTAGCTTTGGCTTTAATGCTATGGTACTATGGAGAGTTCCAAGTTCACCAGACATCTTGTTGAAATTTGATGTCTCCATGTTGTGGTTTTTCATCACTAAAGTTTTTCATCACTAAACCACATTGTGGTTTTTCACCGATAAAGAGGTCACTGCATTGTAATTAATTAACTATTCATATCATACCTTTTAGATCATCCTGAATGCAGTTACCAATATCAGCAATTCATATTTTGGGGCACATAGTTGCAGCTTATAAGAATATTAACTACATCTGGAGGGGAAAATATATTAGACCCATCAGGGGAGCAAAATGCTCTTGAATGAATAATTGTACTCCTAGTGCCTGTGAGATGTAGAACTCTAGATGTCATATATACTCTCTTTATTCAATAGCAGCTGAACAGGTTAGTAGAAGAACTTAAAAGATAAAGTGATGCAAATAAAATATGCACCTCAAGAAAATCCTACACATTGAGTTTATTGGGTCATTGCATTTGTCCCTAAGATAACAGGCTTATAAAAACTGATTTTATGAGACACATGGGCTATTTCACCATTTCAATTACATTTAGTTTTATGACTGAATAATGAATGATGTTTATGGTTTGGGAAAGATTATAAATACTACTTGAGTTGATATTTTCAAGAGGTCAACATATTTTAATTGCTATGTATAATTATTCTCATTTTCACAAATGAGACATATGATCCACAAAATAGTAGCCTGAAGTAAAAATGATATGCATAAAGAATCATTTTTCTCTTGAAAATGTGACCATCGTGGTAATATATTCAGAAGTTGGCATCCCATGAGGCATATCTTGGTCTCCACCCAAAGGAATTTATTTCCATACCGATGTTCGAAAATGATCTTGTAAAAGAATATCTCATCTATAAATAAGTCCTACAGAACACATAACATCAATATATGACTGTGAGACTTGAGTAAATTTTTTAAAGCATTGCTAACAATAAAACTTTTAGGGAGAAAGAAAAAATATCAGGGCCTATCATTAAGCCTTTATATTGGTTTGGAAATTTTTTTCATCCATCTGAATGAACCCCCTCTGTGAACCAAGCACTATCAGATACTTTATCATAACCTTTGCCTAGTAAGCTATCTCCATCTTTTGCCCATTCCCTATGGATTTTTACAAATTTTTTGCAGAGATGGGATCTCGCTATGTCACTGAGGCTAGTCTCAAACTCCTGGCCTCAAGCGATCCTCTCGTCTTGGCCTCTCAAAGTGCTGGAATTATAGGCATGAGCCAACATGCCAGCTGGCTTCCCTAATATTTATATGCTAATCAACTCTTTCTGCCTTTTAGCTACCATTTCCTAAGCTTACTGAACTACACACTTATTCCTTCTCTCCCCCTATCTTCCACAAAACCACCCCTATCACTCAAAGGTCTATTTCAGAAATTAGCTCCTCTGAAGCTTTCCAGCTTAACCCCACTTAACTGCGAACAATCTTACTTCGGGTTTCCCTGAACACTTCTTTTAATTTGCAAAATACTGTTTTGTGCTGGGTAAAATACTCCCTCCTCACAAAGACCTTCCCTAACACAAATCTAAGTGATTTTCTCTACTGTTATATTCTGATCATTTCTTTCATTGGATGTATCATAATTCATAATTGTATTTTCATGTTTACTTAGTTGTTTTATGTCCAACACTTAGCACAGTGGCTAGTGTATAGTAAACACGTGAATAAATAAATAAATGAATCCATGGTCCTAAAACTATTACCTTTGTATTTTACTGGACCCAAATTCAGTGGCTAATGTGTCTTCTTGAATATTCTGTAACCCCCTCCCATTACTAGGCATAAGTAGACATTCAACAAATGATTAAGAAAACACCTATATTCAAACTATAACAGCATTAATTGATACATGCCTACTAAGTACCAAGCAGAAAACTAGATGCTTTAAAAACATTGTGTCTGAGATTCTCAAACTGTTATCTTAGGACCTCCTTGGACACGTTATAAAGGGTCTGCAAAGTCTGGAAAAATTTAGTTTTGTGTTTTATTTAAAATAATAATGTATAAAATTTTAGTATGCCACATTTTAGATCAGAGTGTCCTCTTTAAACCAGAAACTATCTCTTATTTTCAGATCTTTTGTTTTTTCACCATCACTTTGGCCTCCAAGCAATTTCCCAGAGTTAACAGTGTTTAGCTTGCAGTGTGTTGATAAGCACATCTGGCTTCCTCTGGGTTGGCGTGCCCTTAATGTTCCAATGACAGCAATCAGCCCACATCTGCCTTTTGAAGTCATCCTTAATTCTTGTACTAAGGAGAAAGGCAAAACTTTATATTGTGGTAATAATTTGTGCTTGAAAGACATGTTCATAGAATCGGACATTTGTTTCTAGAGTGCTTGTTTTTTAGAAACTAAGACTTTGTTTAACATAATAAAATTTTCATAGTGTAATCGAATAAAGTATGACATTAATAGTCAAGAGTTAATATGAAAACAGAAGAATTCATTGGACTTTCTCAATAAAGGATAAACAGCCTCACAGGGCACTGTAGAAACAAAAAATTTTGAAGCAATTTAAAAGAGAAAAATGGTGGTAGAGTTGAAATATCACTCAACAGTAATAGAGTCAAAGCTGTCAGTGTTCACAGATTCATGCTTAGGAATGATATGTTGCTCGAGTTTTCTTTTTGTTCATACCAATTTACAACATTTAGTATTAAATGAAATAAAAAAAATAAAGACTTTTTTGTTAAACCAATTCTTTTTTTTTTTTCTCAAGACAGAGTCTTGGTCTCTTGCCCAGGCTGGAGTGCAATGGTGCAACCTTGGCTCACTGCAACTTCCACCTCCCGGGTTCAAGCGATTCTCCTGCCTCGGCCTCCCAAGTAGCTGGGACTACAGGCATACGCCAGCATGCCCAGCTAATTTTTTGTATTTTTAGTAGAGATGAGGTTTCTCCAGGTTGGCCAGGCTGGTCTCCAATTTCCTGGCCTCAAGTGATCTGCCCACCTCAGCTCCCAAAGTGCTGGGATTACAGGCATGAGCCACAGTGCCCAGCCAACACCAATTCTTTTCAATTTTTCACTATTGTATTTTGAGGTTCAACCCAAATTGATTATCACATCAAAACAATGAATTAAGTTTATTATTAAATAGGAAAAATAATGACAACAACTATAATGACCTAAGTGATGATCTGTTATGCTTTAAATATAAAGAATCAAATCAAGTAAAACCTGTCATTCCAATATGTCTTTCAGCTATTATATACAACATCAGTAAATTGATTACAGCAAAACTTGATCCACCCAGTTTATTTAAAACTATTAATTTAAATTGTATTGGTCTATATCTACTTGTGTTGGTCTACATCTACTTTTATTTGTATATGCTTAAGTGTAATCCTGTGAAAGCTGCATCCTATGTGATTCAGCCTCAGAGCATACCACACTCAAAGAATCCCAGTGCAAATATTCATTCCAGTCTTTGCCCAAGGCTCTTGAAAAACTTAAAAGATATCCACAAAGAACTTCTCTACACTTATTTTTAAATTTCTTGGCTTCTCCTATTCACTAATATCTCAAAACTGGTGAAGTTCTCACTTTACCACCTCGGAAGACATTTCTCCCTTCTATTCATGAGTTCATCTCCAAAACCTTTCACAATCACCTCTTCTCCCATTTCCTCTGCATTTAGCCCTTTCTCCTAAAGTTTTTCAGCTAGTTTCATCCCTCACCACCACTATTCTAGACTCCTGAAGTGAATGCTGAACACACAGTTTCTCCCACCCTGAGAACATTTTTCTCCATGATTCACTCTGGTAAGGGTTGGGAGACAAGGTACGCACATTGGAGAATCAGAATTGTTTTAAAAGGGCAGAGACCAGGTTGACACTTTATTGAGCAGGGGAAGAAAAGGCTGAGACTTATGAATCCCATCATCTAGATAACATTATAATCTTAAAAAATAGTGTTAGAAAATACCCATGGGAATTTTCTTTTAAATAAGTCCATATAATCTCCTCCAAGATATACAGTTAACATTTATAAATTCCAAGGTGCTAAACAATACTAACAGTATGCTAACACTTGTACTTCTAAAAGGAATGTATATCAATATATATTTTCATTTAGATAGCATAGCTTTGCATATATACCAAACAATGGTAACAATGGTGGCCTCTGAGGAGGAGAACTGGAGAAATGAGGGTCAGAAATAGGAAGGAGACTTACTTTTTATCATATGCCCTTTAATATTTTCAAATATTTTATGGCTTATATGTATTATCTATCCCAAAATAAAATTACTTTAATTTTTTTAAGGGAGACTGTTATCCACACATTGTTATTCAAGTTCTGGTAACATTGTGTTCTGTTGGATAATATTCATACCAACTAGACAAGATCAATATGATTATCCCCAATCTACCGACAGAGAAATTAAGGCTTATAGAGTTTAAGTGACTTGGCTAATTTACACAGCTAACAAGTGACAGGACAGGAATTCAAACTTGGAGCCAAAGGGCTCCAAACATTCTAAACTCACCTCAAGAAATGGAGAAAATACATTCTAAAGAAGTGTGGTAGATTTACAATAGCATCAGAAACTTGAAGTACCTAGGAATAAATGTAATAAAAGGTATAAAGCACCTATAGCATGAAAATGGTAAAACATTCTGAGAAAAATTAAGGAACACTTGAGTAAATGGAAAGCTACAACACGTGCATTGATTGAAAAACTCAGTATTGTTGTCAATCCTTTCTGAATTGACCTACAGATTCAAAGAAATCATAACTTAAAACCCAGCCCATTTTTTATAGAAATTGCAAGCTAATTTTAAACTTTATACAGAAATACAAAGAACCAAAATTCCTGAAAAAGAAAAACCAAGCTAGAGAACTTATATTCCTGACTCCAAGACTTACTATAAAGTTACAGCAATCAACACAATGTGGCATTGGCATATAATCTACAGATATATCACCAAAATAGCATAGAGAGAAGAAAGAGCCACACACCATGATCAAATAATTCTTGACAAAGGTTCCAGAACAACTGAGTGCAGAAAGTACTTTCAACAAATGGCACTGGAACAAGTGGGTGTCTGTTATGATCTTAATGTTTGTGTCCTCTCAAAATTAATATGCTAAAATCCCAACCCCCAAGATAATGGTATTAAATGATAGACCTTTTGGAAGGTGATTAGGTCGTGAAGGTGGAATTCTCATAAATGGGATTAGCACCTTCATAAAAGACCCTAGAGAGATACCTCACCCTTTTAGCCATGTGATGTTACAGCAAGAAGGAGCCATCTGTGAGGAAGCGGATGTCTCACCAGACATTTAGTCTGCCGGTGCCTTGATCTTGGACTTCCCTGTCTCTAAAACTATGGGAAATAAATCTCTGTTGTTTATAAGCCACTCAGTCTATGCTATTTTGTTCTAGCAGCCTGAATGGACTGAGACAATAACCATATAAAAAATGATGAACTTTGTGCACCATACAGAAACTATCTCAAGATGGATTGGAGACCTGAAATTAAAGGCTAAACAATAAAGCTACTAGAAAAAAGGCAAAGAGTATTTAAACTGAATGCAAAAAGCCCTACCCTTAAAAGAAAAAAATATCCTTCGCCCACTTTTTAATGGGGTTGTTTGTTTTTTCTTGTAAATTTGTTTGAGTTCATTATAGATTCTGGATATTAGCCCTTTGTCAGATGAGTAGGTTGTGAAAATTTTCTCCCATTTTGTAGGTTGCCTGTTCACTCTGATGGTAGTTTCTTTTGCTGTGCAGAAGCTCTTTAGTTTAATTAGATCCCATTTGTCAATTTTGTCTTCTGTTGCCACTGCTTTTGGTGTTTTGGACATGAAGTCCTTGCCCATGCCTATGTCCTGAATGGTAATGCCTAGGTTTTCTTCTAGGGTTTTTATGGTTTTAGGTCTAACGTTTAAGTCTTTAATCCATCTTGAATTGATTTTTGTATAAGGTGTAAGGAAGGGATCCAGTTTCAGCTTTCTACATATGGCTAGCCAGTTTTCCCAGCACCATTTATTAAATAGGGAATCCTTTCCCCATTGCTTCTTTAACAAACAACCCCATCAAAAAGTGGGCAAAGGACATGAACAGACACTTCTCAAAAGAAGACATTTATGCAGCCAAAAAACACATGAAAAAATGCTCATCATCACTGGCCATCAGAGAAATGCAAATCAAAACCACAATGAGATACCATCTCACACCAGTTAGAATGGCAATCATTAAAAAGTCAGGAAACAACAGGTGCTGGAGAGGATGTGGAGAAATAGGAACACTTTTACACTGTTGGTGGGACTGTAAACTAGTTCAACCATTGTGGAAGTCAGTGTGGCGATTCCTCAGGGATCTAGAACTAGAAATACCATTTGACCCAGCCATCCCATTACTGGGTATATACCCAAAGGACTATAAATCATGCTGCTATAAAGACACATGCACACGTATGTTTATTGCGGCATTATTCACAATAGCAAAGACTTGGAACCAACCCAAATGTCCAACAATGATAGACTGGATTAAGAAACTGTGGCACATATACACCATGGAATACTATGCAGCCATAAAAAATGATGAGTTCATGTCCTTTGTAGGGACATGGATGAAATTGGAAATCATCATTCTCAGTAAACTATCACAAGAACAAAAAACCAAACACCGCATATTCTCACTCATAGGTGGGAATTGAACAATGAGAGCACATGGACACAGGAAGGGGAATATCACACTCTGGGGACTGTGGTGGGGTGGGGGGAGGGGGGAGGGATAGCATTGGGAGATATACCTAATGCTAGATGACGAGTTAGTGGGTGCAGCGCACCAGCATGGCACATGTATACATATGTAACTAACCTGCACAATGTGCACATGTACCCTAAAACATAAAGTATAATAAAAATAAATAAATAAATAAATAAATAAAAAGATGTGAGGAAGCAGAAATTTATTTATTTGTTTATTTATTTATTATTTTTCAGAAAAAAAAAGAAAAAAATAATAAATGGAAACTTCATGCAAATTTGAAACTTCTACTCATCAAAAGATACCATTAAGAAAATGAAAATATCAGACAGTCTTAGAGAAAAAATTAACAATACATATATCCAACTTGTATCCAGAATGTGTAAAGAACTCCTGCAAATCAATTACAAGAAAAACAAACAATTCAATAAAAAATGAATAAAAGATTCAAATAGACATATCAAAAATAATTCATATGAACAGCCAATAAATGCATGAAAAGATGCTCAAACATTGTTAGTCATCACATAAATGCAAATGAAAACCAGTGAGACACATGACATAGTCACTACATATTCACTAAATTTTAAATTTAACTTTTTAGCATAAAATTTAAATTTAAAATTCAAAAACTAACAATACCAAACAAACATTGGCAAGGATTCAGAACAACGGGAACTCTCATACATTACTCATGGAATGTAATATGATAGATCCATATGGCAGTTTCTTAATAAAATTGAACATAAAAATGCCATGTGATCCAGCAATGCCCAGGCACTGAACAAACAAAAACATATGCCCTCAGAAACTCTCAATTAAGAGTGTTTATTGCGGCTTTATTCATAATAGCCAAAAACCACAAACACACCAGTTGCCCATCAATAGGAGAATGGAAAACAAATTATGGTATATCTATATCTACACTATGAAATACTACTCAGCAAAAAAGATGAACTATTAATGCATGCAACAACATGGGTGAATCTTATTATACTGAGTGAAAGAAATCAGACACCAAGGAGTATATGCCCAATGATTCCATGAATATGAAGTTCTAGAACAGACAAAATTAATCTATGGTGATAGAAATCAGAATAGTGTTTGCCTGGCAGAGAGGAGAATTAATTTAGAAGGGTTACAAAGAAACTTTCTGGAGTGATGGAAGATTCTATATCTTGACTGGAGTGTTGGTTATGTAGGTGTACTTATTGTCAAAACTTACCAAATTGTACACATAAGACTAGAACATTTTACTGCATATAATTATAGTTCACTAAAAAGAAAAAAGAAAACAGAGGTGTGGTAGGAACAGCTGGTAAAACATTTTTTATGACATTGTTCCTTGTGTTTTTTATTTTTGTTCAACTGTGGTAGTCCTGTGAAATGCTACTTTTAGAATGTAAGTCACAGAGGTAGGAGCTACATCTGTTTAACTTGCTTCCATAATACCAATTCCATTGCCAATTACTGAAGAGGTTGTATGGTGAGGGGAAGGAAGATAGCTAATGATTAAAGAACAGAAACTTGCCTTTAGTGTAGAAAAATAAATTAGCAGAAATTGAAATGATAAATGTCTTAGAGCATTTCAATTTAAGGTATATCACTTACGAAGCAATCTGCAAAATCCAAATATGCAAAACATCAGTTAAATAGTTTCTAATTGTGCGAGTAAGTTTACATTCCATTTCTCCTCTACTTCTGTTGAGTTCAAACGGTACCATCTGTTATTTGAGTGTAAAACAGATGTCTTTACCACCACAAGTGTCTTATGTTCTCTATCAGAAAAGGGGGAGGGAGTGTGGCAGGTAATACACTGATGATATTTTGATGTTGTTTGAGAAGTAAAACATAAAAGCCTATGGCCACTTCTTCCTAAAAATATGGCATAATTAAATGAAAATGATCAGTAAAGCTCCTGACCAACTTGTTTGGTAGTTCATGACCAACGAAGCTTAAAAATACAAAATGTTTTGACTGGGTGGGCTACGATTGCTTAAAAAGTGGGAGTGAAAATATCTGTAGTACTATTAGATATCCATGGTAGGAATTCTATCTTGAGATAAGAACAAGGTCAACACTTACTCAATAAGCCCCAAAGGCAATAGAAAACAGCCAAGCAATGCGGATTCATGACCCACGGGTAAAATTAAGTATCTATAACAGACAAAAACATCATGGGTGAAATTGAGTATCTATAACAGACAAAAACATCAGAGTACAGTACCTGAATCCTCAATCCCAGGGGTGTCAATAGAGAAGAGATGTGAGGGGAATCTGAAAACTTGCAGGTGTTTGTGGAATCTCCCCCTAAATACCAAAGAGAGCCTACTATAGAGGGATACATCAGAAACATAGAAAATGGGATTAATGAGAATGTCGATGACAGAAGCTCTAGTTGTTTTCTCAAATTTCCACTGAGAGATAAGCTATTGTAACTCAGGCAAGTGAGAACTGTTCCTTAAATGATGTGTACAGAAAAGGTAGTAGCAAAACAGCATAAGAAAACATGTATCAGTCCATTATACTAAAAAAGAAAATGGAATCATCCTGTTGAGGAAGAGTACCAGATAAACGTAAATTACTGTTATTATTTTCAATAATTCTGTCAAACTCATCTTAAAAGATCCTTCCCGCTATACAGGCACTTTGGTATATTTAAATTTTCTAGTTGTGATAAACAAGTGGTAACATGTGTCGTTATGATGGGTTATCAGTAAAACAGAGTGAAAAGCAGCACTTTGCAAATTATTTTCGGATCTGCCTTTAGAAAGTTTGCCCACAGGTAGAAAAGGATTACAGTGAATCTCAATTCAAATAGCTGATGCAAAATGTTATAGCTAAGGCAGTGTGTAACAAGACCAATAAACATTCCTATATATTTTGAACAGTAATTATACACTAAGGAGTATATTTTTAAATTAATCAGCAGAAAACAAATAGTAAGCATAAAGGTGTTTATGCATCAATAATCAAAGTAGAAGAAAACTAAAAATAACGTATGCCTAACAGAAGAATAGTTGAAAAAAGTCACAATATTTCAATTTAAATACCATTTGGCCATTAAAAACTATCATACTAAAGAAATATATAATACAAGAGATTTTGAAATACCATGAAAAATGCACAGTTAAGTAAATAAAGATATATATATACATATGTGATGCAAATGCATGTGTATATATACAGAGAAAGACATAGGGAAGTACTCAAAAATTGATATAATCAGGTTTTTTCTCTTTTTAAAAATTTAATGCTATTTTATATTATTTTATAATAAATGTTTATAAATTGGTATTTAAAGCACAATTATGACATATTTTGTTTAAAATGTTGACTGTAATAGACACAGTGCTAAATTCCTGACACAGATAATTTACCCTCTAATTTAGTCAAACCTCCGAGGAATCCAATAATAATTTAAGGCATATTCTGCTACATCTCTCACCATGCTGGCATACAAACACATGTATGTGGGAAAGAGGGCCTATTTTTTTCTACAAAACTTATACTCTACATCTTCCCCTGAAGACAGTTTTCTCCCCTTACTTGGTAATATATCACTCCATCTCTCCAGGTCAATATACATAATTTTTCTAGTAATAATTCACACTAAGAATTTGCACAATGAAAACGGCCATTTTTCTATTGTGAAACATTCAAGTTGTCTCCAAGTTTACAGCTACAAGAAAAAGCTGCCTGGATATACATATACCTTACGTTATGGTATGTTTAATTTAATAGGATACATTCCCAAAGCTGGGTTGCTAGATCAAAGACATATCCATTTTTAAAATTTTGACAAATATTAAAAGATAACTTTCCATAAAGGTTTTTTCATTCACCTTCCCATCAGCAATACACAAATGTCTGTTTCCGCAAATTGTTACTAATACTGAATGTTACCAATCTTTTAGGTTTTGCAATTGGACAAGTTAAGGTTGTTTCTCAAATCCACATTCCCTTGAATATTAAGGAGATTAAGCCACCTTTCATTTATTAACCATTTGCATTTTTCTATAAATATGAACATTCTTTTTTATTGTGTCATTTTTCCAATGTATTTGTGCAGGTTCCTTGTAAATTGAAGGTATTAACGTTTTACCTGTCATATGACTGCACATATTTGGCCCAGTTCATTTGTCTTCTCGTTGTTTTATTATACATTCTTGCATTAAGAAACATTTTTAAGTTTGTACATCTATTGATCGTTTTCTTGATTCCCTCTAAGTTTCCCAACTTGATTCCTAATCTCTACTCACCCACAAGTTTACAGAAACAAATATTTTTCTAAATTTTCTTCTAATATTCATAAAGATTTGATTTCACATTGAGCTATATTAATTCACCAGGTATATATTTTTATAAATGGTATAAGGTAGGCATTTATATTAGTTTCCTTCCAAATGGATAGCAAAATTATACCAACATAATTATTTATTTTCCTATTGAATTATAGTGCCAGATTTTCCAAGATTAACTTCTATATTATTGGATATGTGCTGAGGTTCTATGTCCCATTGTCCTGGTTATTATTTCTTATGCCATTGACATTTTGTTTTCATTACCATAGAATTATTATAAGTTTTATCTGATAACACAAGATCCTTACCCCAATTATTCTTCTGAAACATAAATTTTTTTGGCAACTATCATTTCTTCTGCCTATAATTTTTCTCATTCTAAAAATGTCTTCATTTGGATTCTGATAGGAATTATTTTGCGTTTACATATGCTTGGCAAATAATGACATTTATATAATAATGTCATTATTTAATAATTAATGAATGTCAGTATTCTAAGTCTTCCCAACAGTACATGGTGTGTTTCTTCATTTATTTAGGTATTGTTTCATGTCCTTCAACAAAATGTTAAGTTCCTTACTCTTACTATCTGATATAATGTAGATATTTTATAGCTTGAAGTAATATTGTGAATTAAATTTGTTATCCATTTCTTACAAGTTAGAAACTGATGTTTTAGACATGTCTTGTGCCTTGTTCCTACACGCATAGACAAGACCAGTTCAGCAAGAGGGCCAGTCTAGATATGTACCAGTAAGTGCCTCATCCCAGCCAGGATACCCCTCATCTATCTTGGAGTCATATGATTTACATTTGGTTACTGAGCAAAGAATAATACAGAACACTCAGGCATGAACACAAACCCCATTCATCATGCCCAATGTCTGCAGTCTGCCAGATCAGCCTGGTCTAAGTACTGTTCTGGTCATAGTTCTGTGCAACTAGAATGAGGGAAATTTCCCAGAAGTACCTGGGAGCATTGCTAACTAACCAGCCCTAGACTGGCTGTGGCAAGCTTTCATATAATCATTTGTTGAAAAGTTCCTTCTCTGTTGGTTTTGAAGCTATTAAGTATGTTATATGCGTGTGTGCATGTGTGTGTTTACTTCTAATATAAAACCATTTTGGGGATCTATTATTAGGGGAAAAATCAGCAACCTGGTCAAAAATTCATTTTAAAAAAGACTAAAGACATTTCACCTAAATGTCTAAAAACATAGAAGTAGTTAAATAAGCTATGGTACATCCTTCCAGAGGAATATGATATATCCATACAAAGAATAATTTCAGTCTATATAAAAGATATTTCAAAGAACATTTCACAGTATTGCAAACGCTCATGCTAGCATATTAAGTTCAAGAGAAATCTTTCAAAATTGCATATATAATTTGATATGCTTTTAGAGATAGAACAGAAAACAAAATAGGAAGTGTATACTAATATGCTATATGCAAAGGGATCAAAGTACTTTTCATATGTGTAAAGGAATTATACTGCTTTTTATTTTCCCAATTTTTACAATAATCATAATTAGGAAGAAAAAACTTTAAAGGATGCACTGTCTTTTACATTCATACTTATAGGATGATTCGGGCTGTTTGGACTTTCACTTAATCTTTTTTTTTTCCTCATTTACAATATGTATTAGTTTCCTAGGGCTGCCATAACAAAGTACTGCAAACCAGATTGCTTAAAACATCAGAAATGTATTATCTCAGTTCCTGAGACTGAAGTCTGAAATCAAGACATCAGCAGAGCCACGCTCCCTCGGAAGGCTCTAGGACAGGGTCCCGCCTCACCTATTCTAGCTTCTGAGGCTTGCCAGCAACGCTTGGTGTTCGTTGGTTTATAGATGTGCCATTCCAATCTCTGCCTGCGTCTTCACATGGCTCTCTCCGGTGTCTGTGTCCAAATTTCCTTCATCTTATAAGGACACCAGTTACTGGAGTAGGGCCCACCCTAATCCAATATGACTTCTTCCTAACTTAATTACACCTGTGAAGACCGTGTTTCCAAATAAGGTCACATTCACAGATTCTGAATGTTAGATTTTAACATATCTTTAGAGAAGACACAATTCAACTCATAGCATCCCACCCTCTTGCCCATCAAAATTCATGCCCTTTCCACATGTAAAATATGTTGAACCCATTCCAACATCCCATCTCGGGGATTTGGGGGTCTCTCTCTTTCTCTCTCTCTCCTAAATTCTTGTGATTGAATCTGTAAACTAAATGCAAACATGACTATGTCCAACTACTGGACAACCAATGCCAATATAATCAGATCTTTATGAGACTGAAATTAAAGCAGAATGGTCAGCCCAGACCTTTGCTCCCAGAAAAAAACCACTATTTCTGTTAGTGATATAAAGCCAAGGGTGAAGTCCTCACTTGGCAGAAGCCCTCATCTCTCTCAAAGAACTGTGGAAAAAATTTTATCAAGGGCTTCATGGGCCAGCACGAATAATGTGGATTTGCTATCTGGGCCACTAAGCATTACTTTGACTATTTGGCCACCAAGCAGTTCTCCCAGATTTTAAAATCATACTGTTTAGCCAAATGTTTCCATGTCTGCAGAAAAATTAATATCACCCCTTCAGGAAGGGGGTTATAATTCACAGTTCATTCCTAACAGCAGCATGAGCTAATTAGCCAAACTCAGAAACAAAATAGAGTAGTTTTTATTTTAAATCTATTTAATAAATATGATATCCATAGCTGCTGAGGAAATAGCCACAGCTAGGATATTATTATGAACGTAAGTTAGCAGAGCAGTTTGTCTAACCCACAGGTAAGCAAGTTTTTAGATTTTTTTAAAACAGAAACCAAAGTTGTCAAGGCAAAAATTACATGCAAAAATGCTGAGGTATTGGTACAGAGCCAGGAAAGTCAAGTTTTTGAAAATTAAGTCAACAGATTACAAGCTTGGATACAAGTTACAGGTTTCAAGATTGATGGAAATATGTTGCAGTGTACCAGAAATTAGAGTAAACTCCAAGTCAGGAAGCACTAAAATCCACCCAACTGCACAAATTCTATGTAGCCTTGTGTAAGCAAGGCAAATGCTCCAGGCAGAACCAGCTTCATAATTTGTGAGACCCAGTGCAAAATCAAAATGCAGGGCCCGTTGCTCATAAATAATTAAGAATTTCAAAAAGGTTGAAAGAGAACATTAAACTAAACACAAGGCTTTTCTAAGCACAAGACCCTGTGTGACTGCACAGCTTGCACATGTCTCCAGGTTTCAATTTTTTAATCAGTGAAATGGGAAAAATCAAGATTATATGTGCCTTGCCTCCTTCTTGGAGTCATTGGGGTGACAGAGATAATATTAGTAAAAATGTTTTGCAAGTTTTAAAGTTCTTTATTCAGGCCAGACATCATGGATAGATAGCATGAAAACATAAGTAGGGGAGTCCCTTGGAAACCCCCTGCCCACTAACAGGAATTTAATAATTTAATAAAGAATAGCCAAATACTTCACCTATATTTGGTGCTTTATAATTCACAAAATTGAGATTGAGTCCACTCTAAGAAGTTTTCACTAAATCAAAATAAACCAGTTCACTAAATTGTAATGTGATTCCTTGGATTGGATGCTGGAACAGAAAAAGGATATCAGTGGGGTAACTGGTGGAAACCCATAAAAACTCTTATGTTACTGTTAGTTAACAGTAACATAGTGCTGTTAATTTTTTTGTCTTGACAAGGCACTAGAGCCATATAAGATTTTAACATTACAGAAACCTGGGTGAAGTTTGTGCAGGAATTCTCTGCACTATCTTTGAAACTTTTCTGTAAATACAAAATTATTCCAAAATAAAAAGTTTGACTAAAAAAATAAAACTAGTCCAGTTTCTGCGTAACTGGGAGGAAATGATGATTCTTATTTACTTGATGGCAAAATAATGATTAGCTTCTTTATTAGAATATAAAAACCTCTCCTAAGTTATCTTAGATAGCTGTTTAAATTACATGTACCTAGATACAGAAATTTGATAGATAGATAGATAGATAGATAGATAGATAGATAGATAGATAGATAGATAGATAGATATGGGGAGGGAGTGGGGGGGAGAGGAAGGGACAAGGGAGAAAACATAAATGGATGATGGATAAACAGAAAAATAGAAATGGCTTCAAGTTTTACTGTGCAGGTGTATACTATACATTTGAAATATTTCTAATTTACCCAAAGATTCTTTAATTCCACAATCTTCTTCCTTTAACAGGCATCACTTTATATTTTCTATTAATGTTTTTCTACTTGCAAGATTAATTCCTGCTTATTCCAAAAAATACAGAAACAGACAATCCTCCCAAAATTATCTATAATCCTATCCCTGAGAAGTCGACCCAGTCAACATTTTAACTCATTTTCTATTACACCCTGTGTGTGTGCATGCATGTGTACATCAAGCATCCTGTAGAATAATGGAGGCCATTCTGTATAAACTGGCATTTACAAAATTACATTTCATGGAACATTGGGTTCTGGCGACAAAAAATTTGAGGACATGGTGTACCATATTCTCCCTCTTGAAGATTCACTCTGCAAAATAGCATAGTAAAAGCTATGCTGCATAACTTTTTAAACTCAGATTTTTGTCAATGTATGAAATTCCATTATCCAACAGAATAATCCTTGGGAAACTCGAGTATATATGGTTCTGTTCCAGATTTTTTCCACTTGATATGATGTTATGAGTATTTTCCCGTGTTACCATAAATTAATCGCAAATATCATTCTCATGGCTACAAATATCACATCATATAAGCATACCATTATTTATTATACCAGCAGTTGGCAAAACATTTCTGAAAAGGACCAGGTAGCAAATATATGAGGCATGATGGGCCCTATGATCTCTGTCCTACAAGTCAAGTCTGTTGTTCAAGTGTGAAAGTAGCCATAGACACCGGGCGCAGTGGCTCACGCCTGTAATCCCAGCATTTTGGGAGGCCGAGGCGGGTGGATCACCAGGTCAGGAAATCGACATCATCCTGGCTAACATGGTGAAACCCCATCTCTACTAAAAATACAAAAAAATTAGCCAGGCGTGGTGGCGGGTGCCTGTAGTGCCAGCTACTCAGGAGGCTGAGGCAGGAGAATTGCTTGAACCCAGGAAGTGGAGGTTGCAGTGAGCCGAGATTGTGCCACTGCTCTCCAGCCTGGGCGACAGAGCGAGACTCCATCTCAAAAAAAAAAAAAAAAAAAAAGTAGCCCTAGACACTATGTAAACAAATGGATGTGGTTATGTTCCAATCACACTTTCATATAATTTTCATGTCATAATATAATATTTTTTTTAATTTTTTCAACCATTTAAAAGTGTAAAAAACCATTCTTGGCCCACAGACTGCACAAAAACAGGTGGCAGAGCCTATTTGTCCTGCAGACCATAGTTTGCCAACCTGTGTTCTGTTTTGTTCCCCAATTTTAAAAATTATTATGTTGGGCATTTTGAAAAATAAATCTGTGTCTGAATTTCCAATCAGTTCCTTTAAATAGATTCCTAATAAATTTTTAGAAGTGAACAACTAGGCCAGGGAATGTATGAGGAACTGGATGCATGTGGCTAAACTGATTTATTGAAATGATGTACAATGCTCAACAGCACTGTCCAGAAGTGTCTGTCTCACTGTAATCATGCCAGTTCTATTACCATATTTTAACTTTTGATAATTTGATAGATGAAAATTAATATCATGCTTTACCATTCATTTCTCTGATTACTAGTGAGGTTGATCAACTTTTCACATTTATTGATCATGTTCACTTCCTCATTTGTGACTTATCTGTCATATTCCATTTTCCCATGTGTTACTAAAATATTGTTTCTTTGTTAAAGTTTACATGAGTTTTTTTTTTTAATATACTGGGCCTATTATTCCTTCTTATCCTTAGCAAATGCCTTTTTTTTTTTTTTTTGAGACAGGGTCTTACTCTGTTGCCCAGGCTGGAGTGCAGTGGCATGATCACGGCTCACTGCAGCCTCGACCACACAGGCTTAAGCGGTCCTCCCACCTCAGCCTCCTGAGTAGATGGGGCCACAGGCATGCGCCACCATGCCTGGCTAAGCATTTAAGTATCTGTAGATATGGGGTCTTGCTATGTTGCCTAGGCTGGTCTTGAACTCCTAGGTTCAAGCAATCCTCCTGCCTCGGCCTCCCAAAGTGCTGGAATTACAGGCATGAGCACCCAGCCAGCAAATACTTTCTTAACCTGTCAACATTTTGAGTTTGATATTTTCTGTTGTAGAGATAATTTTGAACTTCATACATTGATTATAGATTGACTATAGACATGAACTATAGATTGATGTACATTTATAAATCTATCAGTTGTTTCCATCTTGGCTTCTTCCTGTTTTCATAGATGGAAAATAATTTTTTATCAAAGATTATTTGAATAGTTAACCAAATTTTCTCAATTTTATTATAATTCTGTATCTTACATTTAATTCTTCCTATTATCTGGCATTCATTTGATGCATGGTGTGAGGTGAGGTCCTAAACTGGTTTTCTCTGAATTGCTTTTTTTAATTTTCCAAATTCAGTTTTCCCACCACCATTTATTATATAATCTACCCTTTCCCAAATGACCATTATTTTCTCTTATGTAAATATAGGGGTCTAAATACAGGTAAAAATGAGATCTAAGATGGGGGTACATACAAGAGGCATATTTGAGCCATCCCATTTATCTATCTCCCCTTCCTTACCATAGCTCAACACTATTTCAGCTATTGTCACTTAAGTATACATTTGAACATCTGTGTTAAAATATATGCTAAAAGACCACTCCACTAATTACTCCAAGTTCTTACTTCTCAGAAGAAATTAAGGGCATCTTGGGGGTATTTGTGTTAGGGAAGACATTCCCAGCATATTAATGAATAATATGTGACAGAAACCATGCACAGATAATTGGCATCAAGTTTACTAAGAGAAAAGAAACAGACGTGAACTAAAACAAACAAACAAACAAACAAACAAGAAAAGCTGAGAGTAAGTGTAAAGGACACACATCATCTTGGGAAAAACTATTTACCTATAGATAACAGTCAATTTTTAATTCCTCCAGTTAAATCTGCTACCAAAAAAAAAAAAAAAGTGGCTAGAACTCCATGAATCATCAGTCCCATGTTAGCTATAACTTTACCCTTGTCCTTGGCCAAATGCATTAGCAGAGTCAACAGAAAATGTGCTCTGTGTGAACAGTATGTTTTTCTTCCCTGGTCACTTTCCTTGGGTAGGTTATAAACACAGAAATCCTCAAAAGTGTGTCAGCAGGAAAGGAAACAGCAGCAACCCTGTCCTGACCAAACCTCAGATTAATTGTGTAGACCTGGACTGACAAACTATGACCCCCAAGCCAAATATGGCCCACAGCCTATTTTTGCAAATGAAGTTTTACTGGAGCACAGCCATGCTCTTTCATTTACTTATTGTCTGTAATGGTTTTCAAAATGCAATGGCAGAGTTGAATAATTAAAACAGAGACTTTATGGCCTACAAAGCTGAAAATATTTACTATCTGTCCCTTTACAGAAAGTTTTCTGATTGTGTCATGCAACATCTCCTTCCCTACTTCCCACTAGTGCAGGCCCTCACAAATATGCTTCACTGATTATAAAGACAGATTCTTATTTCTCTTTTACTTTCACCTCAGTAGTTCCTGTCTGCTTTTAATTAAAATCAAATCCAGACCTCAGTCACTCACACAGAAAACCAAAGGGTAATGCAGTCACAACTTTTAATTTCCCTCCACTATGCTGCAATCAGCTCATAAATTAAAACAGATTGTCAACGCCTGAGAAATGCTCAAGCTGTGGCCCAGAGAAATAAAAGTAAAAGAGCTGAGAAAAGGGCAAGGTGCCCCTTTTGTTGTGCTATTTCTGATGCATAACAGAAGCCTAGACTAAGGTGAGAATAGCAATGTGGAAACGTCCACGTTTCTGGATCTCTAAAATAGATGCATTATTTTTAAGCACATTTCTTCTGCCACTCTGAAACCTCTCCAGTGTAAGAGCCAAGACATGTATAGGCCTTTGATATCAGCAAGGTAATTGCTGCCTCTGGCCCAAGAAGCTCAGTCCCTGAGCCATAAATTGAGAGACACTTTTTACCAGTAATCTTGTTTCCACAGCAGCAAATGAGAATAGCAACAGACCAAATGATAACGATGTTCTCAGTCTTATACTGCATTTCAGACTTCAGTTTCTCAGCATGTAAATTATTTTTTTCAAATCCTTTCCTAAGAGGTCGTGTACAACATTTGGTGAACAAAATTATAAGAATGTCTTGCTTAGTCTACTTTATGAGAAAATGAGCTGTTTCATATAGTTTCCAAATAAATTTGAAAGTTCAGAACTTTTTAGTCATAATCACCTTGAAAAGAATTTTTTCCAAAATATATTATTTCACTTTGCATTAAACGCAAAACACTAGATTTTTCAGTACCTAAGGGCCATCATTTTGAACATTTAAGGCTCTGCCCTCAGACAACTTATCCCTCTCCTCAAGGAGTTTATAGTTCAGCAAATATTTTCTGTAAAGAACTAGACGGTAAATATTTTACACTTTGCAAGCCACAAACACAGTCTTTGTTGCATGTTCTCTGATTGTGAAGAAATAAAATTCTACCTGGAAACATCAGGCTTTTTGGAGGACCTGAGTTGAATCTTCAAAGAATAAGACTCTTTGTTTTCAAAAGTAAATATATACCTAGAATACATAAAGAACTCTTTCAACTCAACAATAAAAAGGCAAACGACCCAACTGAAAAATGGGCAAAGGACTTGAACAGACATTTCTTTGAAGAATATATACAAGTGACCAAAAAGCACATGAAAAGAAGTTCAACATCATAGTCATTAGGGAAATGCAAACCCAAACCACAAGATCCCACTTCACTTCACATTCACAAAATATGGAAAAGAATAAGTGTTGGAGAAGATATGGAGAAATTGGAACATGTAAACATTGCTGGTGGAAATGTAAAATGTAAACTGTGGAAAACAGTTTGTTGGTTCCTCAAAAAGTTAAACAGAGTTATCGTGTGACCCAGCAATTCCTAGGCATATACCCAAGAGAACTGAAAAAAGGCAGTCAAACAAGCACATGTACATGCATGTTCATAGAAGCTCCATTCACAATAGCCCAAAGCTAGAA
This sequence comes from Homo sapiens, assembly GCF_000001405.40. Classification (NCBI taxonomy): domain Eukaryota; kingdom Metazoa; phylum Chordata; class Mammalia; order Primates; family Hominidae; genus Homo; species Homo sapiens. Next base: position 14,071,813 of record NC_000023.11, on the reverse strand, counting down.
AAAGCCCAAATGTCCATCAACAAGTGGCTACCAAGAGCAGCGGGAAGAAGGGAATAGTGAGCAACTACTTAACAGGTACAGACTTTTGTTCTGGAGTGATGAAACTATTTTGGAATTAGATACAGGTAACGGTTGTACAACCTTGTGAATGTATTAAGTGCCACTGAAATGTTCACTTTAAAATGGTTAATTTTATGTTATGTAAATTTCACCTCAGTTGTTGAATAACTAGAAAATAAATATACAGGTAGTCATAAAGTCAGGAATCATAAATGTTATTATATTGTGATATAATATCGACAATCCATTATGTATGTATATTTGCCTGTATTTTTAGGTTTTGTGGCCACTTTGTACATGCATTTTTTTTACTATTAAGGTAATTCATGTTTGTTGTAAAAATTAAAGGCATATAGAAAAATGTCATAATGATAACTAAAATGTATTAAGTCCTGGCTATTTGGTAACAGTGTGCTGAAATATAACAATACATATACACATGAATCCTCATAAAGGCCCTGGGATCTAGACACTGTGTCTATGCCCAATTTGGAATATGAGAAAATAGAGCAGAAAAACAATTATGAAAAAGATCTAAAGATAGGAAGCTAGTAAACAGCAGAGACAAAATTTGAAACTCCACAGTCTGACTCCAGAAGTTTGTCTCTTAAACACTGCCTTCCATTGCCTTGAAAGAAAAGACAGCATCTTCCTTAATTCCACTCCCCAGAAGGAATCACCATTGACTAAGTATCTTCAGGTTCTTTTTTTTTTTTTTTTAAGAAAATAAGTATCTCACTATAGCCAATATGCCAAAAGCCAGTTTTTAAACTTAATATATCAGAAGCATGTTTTCATGTCTATATATTTATTTCATCTGCATGATATGCTATTGAACAGATATATCCCCATTCAGTTATCCAATCCCCTAGTGTTGGGCGCTTAAGTTGTTTCCATTTTTTCCACTCTTACAGTGTTATGATAAGACTTCCAATATCATTATCCATTTGCTTGATAATGTTGTCAGGATAAATTTCTACAAGTGAAATTGCTTGGGTAAAAGGTTATGTCTATTAGTCACACTGATGAATGTCGCTGAATTGTCCACCCCAAATTTGATATGGTTCTAGATTCCCACCACTAATGTGTGGGAGGGTGTCTTTTCCTCATACCATCACCAATCCCGGGTATTGTTGATCTTTTTAGTCTTTAATAACTGATAAGTCAACGTTTGTTAATAATGAAAGAAATGCAAACTTATTTAAGTTTATGTTAAGTTACTTAAGTTCACATTTCTTTCATTAACAAACTTGAGCATACACTCATATGTATTTGACATTGAACTGCTTTTAAGAATTGCTTCTTTGACTGGGCGTGGTGGCTCATGCCTGTAATCCCAACACTTTGGGAGGCCAAGGTGGGCGGATCACGACGTCAGGAGTTCAAGACCAGCCTGGCCAACATAGTGAAACCCTGTCTCTACTAAAAATACAAAAAAATTAGCCAGGCATGGTGGCGCACACCTGTAGTCCCAGCTACTCGGGAGGCTGTGGCAGGAGAAACGCTTGAACCCAGGAGGTGGAGGTTGCAGTGAGCCGAGACTGCACCATTGCACTCCAGCCTGGGTGACAGAGCAAGATTCCGTCTCGAAAAAAAAAAAAAAAAAACCATAAACAAAAAGAATTGCTTCTTTATGTCCATCCTTTGCTTATTTTTGTATTCAGCATTTGTTTTATTTATTTGTAAGACTCTTGCTACATATTATAGATATTAAATCCTCTGGTTTTGTTCTGTCATATAAGTTGCAGCTTCTTCTGTGGGCTACTATTTTTCTTTTAACTTATGGTATTTTTAGCCACCTATTAGGTTTATTGTGTTTTTTTAATGAAGTAAAATCTCTCTGTATTTTAATTTAATGTTTCTACCCTCAGTGACATGCTTTAAAGGAGGGCAGAGGGCTCCAAGTCAAGATTATGAAAATATTTTTTTCTGTTTTTCAGGAACTGTTTTACTTTTCGTAGTTAAGTCTTAGCACACCTGAAACTGATGTTTGTATGTGGCAAAAATCAGGGCTCTAACTTGAGAGATGAGGACAGCAGAAAAGATTATTCTGAATTTTGCTTTGTATTTGATTGGTTGGATGGTTAATTTGAGTTTTGAAATTTGGTTTCGTTTTTGGAGGAGTGAGTTTTTTTAAATTCTAATTTTTTTCAATTCTCTTTGTGCATTTGTTTCTATGGAGAGTGATTTTAATTGCAATTCACAACAGAATTTATTCAAGAATAAAGGTCAGAGCCTAATTTTGCCTATATTGTACCCCGTTTTCCTTTCCATGGATGTGTTTTATGATTCCAGATTTGGTTCCTTGGGACTCGAACCAAAGTAGAGAGTGTAGATGTGAATAAAATCAAGATCAAATAAAAGAGAAAAAAGGAAAAATGCCTGAGGGGCGACACTATGATTACATGGTATTGACACTTACCTACAATTCAGGTCTATGCTCACATGACCAAGTCTTGCAAAACTGGGTCTGGGGCCAAGTTGTCTCGGCCACCCTCAGAGCTATTCTGAGCTTGTAGTGCATTCAGTGGAGATAAAATATTGGCTGACAAGTTCATCTTTGCTTGTGATGATTCTTAATTCACAGGTGTCAACAAGGAGCTGGAGAAAGAACAACACAGTAATAGTGGTAGGTTCCCAGAGTCCACAGGGAACACCTAACTCCTCAGAGATGCCAACTCCCCTGGCTGGAATTCCTGTGCAGGACAAGGAAGATCAATGAAGAAGTGAACCCATAGTCCTTCAGGCACATCTGGCCCAACTGGCAGACAGAATTCGTGTGTCTCTCCTTTACTCCTTTAGTTTATTACTCCCCCTGTGAGATTCAGCACCAGCCTACTTCAGACCTGTCACTGTTAATACCATTGCCTTGCTTTATTTTCAAAGCACTTTCTGAAATTATTCATCTATTTTTTTTACAGGTATACATGTTGCTATGGGTTGAATTGTGTCCCCTAGAAAGATATGTTGAAGTCTTAATCTCTGATTCCTGTGAATGTGATCCTATTTGGAAATAGAGTCTTTATAGAGGTAACTAGGTGAGGTTATACTGGAGTAGGATGGCTCCTCAATCCAATATGACTAGTATGCTTCTAAGAAGAGGAAAACTTGATATGTTGTCATTCCACCCTGAATGTGTCCAATCTTATTTGATCTTTGAAGAACAGGGAAATATGGTCACAGACACAGAGAGGTAATATGGTCACGTGAAAACAGAGGCAGAGATGGAGATCAGAGTTATGCTACCACAAACCCAGGAAGGCCTGGGGCCCAGAAGCTAGAAAGAGACCAGGAAGGATTCTTTTCTAGAGCCTTTAGAGAAAGCATGGCCCCACGAACAACTTGATTTAAGATTCGTAGTCTCTAAAATTATGCAAGATTGGATTTGCATTGTTTTAAGCCGCTAGGTTTGTAGCATTTTGCTAGTGTACACACAGGAATCTAATACTCATGTTTACAATCCATCTTTCACCCCTGCCCTCAACACATACACCACAAACAAACCAAGGGCAAGGACCGGTCCTGTATCTCCAACACTTAGCACAATGCCTAACACATAGTTGGTACACAATATTTATCGGAAAGAAATTATTGTAGCATGCTTTGGCTCTGTACCTGAGAAGATGTGGATGTCACTTTCTGCACTATCCACCCCTCCCTCTTGCCTGTCTTCATGTCCCTTGACTCTTCACAAATTTGTCTCAAGACCTTTGCTGGAGAGCTTCCCATGACTGCCTCTCACTGCCTCTTTATAGCTTAGAGCTGTGCTGCCCAGGTCAGTGGTGACTAGCCACACATGGCTGTTGAGCACTTAAAATATGCCTAGTACATCTGAGGAACTGAATTTTTAATTTTATTCCATTTAAATTTAAATTTAAATATAAAAATAAATGCTCAATTCAGTTACCAGAAAAATTATAAGTGTGCCTCAAACATGTGAATCTCCTTTTTCAACTGTAATTTTAATGAAATCTAAATATGAGCTAAGTATGTTCAATAAAAATTTAGCATCCAAATCAAGATGTGCATTGAGTGTAAAATACACACTGAGTTTTGAGGATTCGGTATGAAAAAAATGTAAGAGATCTTGAAAATGTTTATATTGATTATATTTTGAAATAATATTTTAAATATATTGGGTTAAGTAAAATATATTATTAAAATTAAGTTCACCTGTTTGTCTTTAGTTTTTAATGTGGCTACTAGAAAATTTAAAATTACAGATGTAGTTCACATCGTATTTCTATTGGACAGCGCTGGCTTAGAAGTTAAGAACTCAGCATGTAGTCAATCAGAGCCTGGTTTCAGTCTCTACTTACCAGGTTTATGAATTTGAGCAAATGTCACAACTTTCTGTTTTTTTGTATAAATATAAGGGGTACAAGTGCAATTTTGTTACAAGGATATATTGCCTAATGGTGAAGTCTAGGCTTTTAGTGTAACCATCACCCAAATAATATACATTGTACCCATTAAGTAATTTCTCATCTCTCACCTCCCTCCCATTCTTCTCACGGTTCAGTCTCCAATGTCTATTATTCCACACTCTATGTCCTGTGTACACATTATTTAGCTCCCACTTATAAGACAGAAGATGCAGTATTTGACTTTCTATTTCCGAGTTGTTTTACTTAAGATAATGGCCTCTAGTTCCATCCATGTTGCAGCAAAAGACATGATTGCATTCTTTATGGCACAAATGGCACGACTTTCTGAGTGTCAGTTTTGTCATCTATGGCTTGCAGGGTCTTTGCTAAGCTTAAAAGAGATAAATAAGGCAATGTGTACAGTGAGTGGCAGGGAAGAGCTTAAAAATGGTAATTCTTCTTAAAATTTTATTATCATTATTACTTTTCCTGATGTGAGCATTAAAATGTTTCCTCATGCTCTGACCTGCTATAGCAATCTCTCTATTTAAAATTATCTCATCTTGGCCGGGCGCGGTGGCTCACGGCTGTAATCCCAGCACTTTGAGGGGCTGAGGCAGGCGGATCACTTGAGGTCAGGAGTTCGAGAACAGCCTGGCCAACATGGTAAGACCCCATCTCTACTAAAAATACAAAAATTAGCAGGCAGTAGTAGCGCATGCCTGTAATCCCAGCTACTCAGGAGGCTGAGGCAGGACAGTCGCTTGAACCCAAGAGGCAGAGGTTGCAGTGAGCGGAGATCGCACCACTGCACTCCAACCTGGGCAACAGAGCAAGACTCCAAGAAAAAAAAAAAAAAAATATATATATATATATATATATACACATATCTATATATCTCATCTTGACCCAGGGCTGGCTATACAATTTGCAGAGCTCAGTGCAAAATAAAAATGAGGCTCCTTGCTGGTGTGGGCGGGGGGGGGGGGGCGGGCGGCGGGGGTGAGACAGGAAAAAGTGCACTTAACGTTATTATAATATGAAACTTTTTTTTCCCTTCTTCACTGTTTCTCTCAATCCGTGGTGGTAACTTTTATTTGCTATTTCACGCCAGGTTCAGGCACAGGGTAATGAATAAGGTGAGTTACAGCCCCTCTCAGGCTCCAGGGCGTGGGTAGGGATGGGGGGCGTCTAGGTTGGCAGTGTCTCAAGTGTCCTTCTGGCGGGGATCCATCTCCCCTTCCCAGTCGACCGTCATAGCCACCCACTGCTGAAGAGCAACCCCCTCAAGGCATGAAAAGCCAGAGGCCAGGACCCCCTCAGGCCCAGGGCTACTGATGGGTGGGCGTCCCACCCCTCCTGACGGGCCAAGGTCCGTGATGACGGCAGCCACGCCTCACCCGCGAGACATCGCGGGGCCTGCACTCAACCCAGCCCTCTGCACGCCCACGTGCTAGTGCCCCAAGCAGAGGGTGGCCGATGGGCAGGGCAGGTAGGCGCGGACACCAGGGACTGGGAGGTAGGGCTGCCCCTGCCCACCCCCATGCTCCGTCGTCTCCCCCCACCTTCGCTTACAAAACACATTGCAAGAGATAACGCTGCAGGCTTCAAGATGGCAACTGCAGAGGCTTGAATCCCAAGTGCGGGGTTCTTCGAAAGGCAGGGCCCTGTGCTGCTGCGGTGGCTGCAGGCCCCTGAAGTCGGCCCTTCCTTGACCTAGAAGTAGATACTGTCGTCACACGGCCTGCCCCTTTCAGATTCCCTTTCTAGGACCCGTGCTTCCATTGCCGGGTCCCAGCACTGTCCCTCGACTTCTGTAGCCACTTCATCCTCTCGTCCAGGGAGCAGAAATGCCTGGGAGCTCACTTCCTCCAAAAGCCAACTGCAGCCAGCAGTGACCGTAGGAATATGGAGGCCTAGCTCCCTGGCCTAGAGGCTCTGAGCCTTCATTGATCCTCCAGAGCTCCCCAAGGATCAGGCTGAGGCAGGGACTTCCCTGGCCTGTTCTCCTGCCCTCACTTCCTGAGAAACTCACGGGCTCTTAGATTCTCCTGTCAGCGTCTGCTGCCGGGGAACCTGACTTCAGACAGACTTTTCTTTCGCTGCTTTTAGATAATCGTATCATTTATTCAGCGCTGTCGTGTACCAGGCATGGCGCTGAACGTTTCATCCCATGAGGCAGCCCGTGTCTTCCTCCGTGTGCAGCACAGCAATCGATGATTCGCTTGGAATGAATAGCGCAAACGTAAGAGAGCAGTCGTAATTTACAGAGCTGAATGTTTGCATTGAGGGAGTGGTGTGACTCATCTTGGGTTAGCAAGGCGCTTCAGATAAGGAATTGCCAGTCATTAAGGTTCTTCTTTCAGTGTTATTCAGACAGTCAGAGTGCTCCCTAGCTAGGATTTAAAGAAGCTGAAGACTTCATTTGCTGCCTTTAAGCCAAAATATTAAGATAAGCATAAAGTCCTCACTTAGACATGACCATATGTGACACCAAGGAGCAGAATCATTTATTTTGCTCTAATGGAGTAAGTGAAAGAAACACCATCAAAAACAATACACTGAATGCAAAGGCACAGTGCACTCTGTCATTCTCTTAAAAAGCCACGTTTTATTCAGATGGATAATACTAGCTATCCTAGAGAGAACAGAAGGTGGGGAAAGGCCTCTCTTAAGGAGGCAATTGGATCATCAAAGAATGTCTTTGATTCGCAAGAGTTTGCTTGAATTATGGAATTATGTCTTAACACCCTTCACTCCTGTCATCATCGACAATGTCATTTTTCTCCTTTGAAGTCAAAGCCTGACTTTTCCCTTTTCAACACCAAAAGTTAGCAGCTGTTCCCACATGAAGGTGAAAATGCTGAACAAAATGCTTTTTAAATTGAGTCATAGGTATATTTTACCTAAATGATGACTACTTACAAAAGTTTTAGTTATGTTCATTTAATAAGTCTATATTTTAGCAAACTTAGAACATATAATCCCATAGAAATAGGATTCAAGGGCAAGACAATCAAAAGGCCAATTTAATCCATTAGGTAAAGAAATTTAATATGATAGTATTATTTTGACTCCAACTAATTCCCATTAATTTCTATGGGATATTTGTCCACAATGTCCACATGATATGCCCCAAATCTGGCTTCTTGGCAGTAGCACCTTGAAACAGAAGGGTCATGGGGTACGGTAGACAGATAGTCCAAGGCAAAAAAAAAATGTTTAACCATTTACATCTGTATAGGTATTATGTAGATACTTTTTAATTTTTGAATACATGCTAAATTTCCAAGGTTCAAAATTCAAAGTTACAAAAGGGCATACAGCAAAACGTCTTCTCTCAGCATGCCCATACCTACCCAATGTCTTTCTCATGTTTCTTGTTTTTCCTCCAAAGATTTTCTCTGCATGCCCAAGCAAATATGAATCCTTTTTATTTTCTTTTTATATCCATACTGTATACACTGGAATGTTTCTTGCTCTTTTCCACTTAAGGATAATGGCCCATTTTAATCAGAGGCCACATCAAATTTAATGCACTGCCAAAACAGGAGTTACTCAAAGTGACATCCACTGTACAACCAGTATGAGAATCACCAAAAGCAGATGCCTGGACCCAGCTTAGACTTACAGAATCAGAAATATATACACACTAGAATGTGTGATCTGAGGAAGTAGAGAAAAGTACATTGGCTTTCAAGTCAGATCTGAATTGGATTCAAATCCTGTTACTGTGCGTGCCGCTTGGCACTCTCATCTGAGCAATGGGGATAATGATGTCTACCTTTCCATGCCACTGGGAGGAAGAGAGGTAAGTTGCATATTTCAATTAGGAACAATCTCAGGAACTGGTTTATGAATTCACAGGCACCCATACCCAAAGGTTGGCTCTGCCTTTCCATTCCACTCTACTAGACTTTCCTTTGCCTCCCAGATAAACTGCTTGCATTCAAATTCTTGTCTCAACAGTCTTCTAGGGGAATCTAAGCTGAGACAACACCTTTCCATAGCAGGAAGGATGAAGAAGGATGCTGTGAAGATTAAAAGAGTGAATGTCTATAAAGTGTTAGAAAGTTGCCAGGTATATAATAAGCACTACATGTGTTTGTTTCATTAGTATTATACTATTATTATCACTACATCTTCATTTTTAGTGGTGGCAAGCTTACTCCTAATAATTGTCCCAAATGCATCCTACCTTGTTTCACTAAGGAATAGTTTGTTCACCAAGCAATTGGGAATGGCCCATCATTTGCATTCCCCATAGGCTATAGCAGGCATTTACCCTTGGTGATAATTCATAGAATTTCAATCGCATGTATCTGAATTACATTATTTTGTTGTAATCAGTCTCCAAAGCCTTCACGCTCTTCCCTCTCACTCAGATATGGGGCATGCCTTATTAATTAAATGACAAAGTTATTACAGCCAGTAATTGAATTACTCCATAGCTCCTGCCTGCAGTAATTAACATCTATCAAAATAAAAGAGGAGGAGCTGTGTCACCCTTATTACAAATGGTTTGGTTTCATGGGTTTTTGATCAAATTAAATAGAATCAAACTAACAAGCGATTGGATTAAGCCAAAAGTCATTGTACTTATATTGCCCTTATTTGTTCCTGGGCACAACTGAACACTGAGAATCCACTTTATAGGCTACATATTTTTCCTTAACAAACTTCCTCCTTCTCAGTGCAGACTCAAGAATGTGACTGGGCTTTCAAACTGATGAACAGTATTCTCATCAGACTATATTCAGTAGCTGTTTTGCACACAAGAAACTATTTAAAAGTAAGTCAAGAACAACCAATTAAATCTAAAAATGATTCTGCAGCCACTGTACCAATTATAGGCATAACCAAGGAGCAGTTTATGTACAAAAATACTCATAAAATCCGAATCATGTCAGAGTCGTTCGACAGCTATCAATTGTTATTAGTGTACAGCAAAACAGTAATGCCGGCAAGTGCTGAGCAGGCCAAAAAATGAATCAAAAGGATGTTTTCTCATGAATAGGCAAACAGATTGTCTCTCATAAACAGACACACAATTACATGCAGGAAAAGGATGGAGAGAAAGGGATAAAGGAAAGGGAAAGGAGAGGGAGCCCTAACTGTTGAGTGATACATGAGAAAGAGAAGATATACCACTCCCCCAAAAAAGAGCTGTCCATCAAAGCATATCCCCACCAATATTCAGAGCATCACAAACCACAAAAAAATAAAATTAAATCTGTATTTGTAACAATATTCATGACAGCTATAGACCTCAACAAAAACGTGGACTACTTTTGCTCTTTACTGAAATCCACAAAGACAAAGCCTGCTTTAATTGGAATCTTCCTCTTTTTAGATGCTGTTCCCTCACCCCATTCTGGTGCATAGGCAAACACACATGCAATCCCTCAACAGTTGGCTAAAAGTAGCTTACATAAACTTGTTCTAGTTTAGGTTGCCTGGGATAGTACTGTTTATGGCTATTGTGTCAGCTACATTACTAATAGTATCATTTTCACTCTCACAGGTGTTCTGGTTCAGAGGCTGGGGATGAGGAATTAGATGTTGGTCAAAGGATACAGTTTTAGTCAGATGGGAGAAATAAGTTCTGGAGATCTATTGTACAGCAAAATGACTATAATTAATAATGTACTGTATATTTAAAATTGCTAAAAATAGATTATAAATGTTCTCAACACAAAAAAGTCATAAGGATACGAGGTGATGAATCCAATAATTAGCTTGATTTAATCATTTCACTATATATGTATGTATGTATATATATATATATAGTGCCCCATAAATACATACAATTTTAAAAAGTAGTCTTGGTTTGGAAAATAAGTTATTTGCTCCTATTGTGTCAACATTAAAGGCCTCCAATGTATATATTAATTCTCTTCTGATCTGGTATAATAAAGAGTTCTGAATCCAGTCACCATTCCTGAACATCTCCAAATTTCCTTTGGAATTATCTCTCAGGTTGTATTAGTCCGTTTCCATACTGCTATAAAGAACTGCCTGGAACCGGGTAATTTATAAAGGAAAGCAGTTTAGTTGACTCAGTTTAGCATGGCAGGGGAGGCCTCAGGAATCTTACAATCATGGCAGAAGATGAAGGGAAAGCAAGACACCTTCTTCACGAGGCGACAGGCGGAGAAGTGGCAAGCAAAGTGGGGGAAGAGCCCCTTATAAAACCATCAGATCTCGTGAGAACTCACTCACTATCACAAGAACAACGTGGGGAAACCACCCCTGTGATTCAATTACGCCCACCTGGTCTGGTCTCTTCCTTGACACATGGGGATTATGGGGATTACAATTCAAGATGAGATTTGGGTGGGAAAACAGCCAAACCATATCACAGGTGCTAGAGCATGGGGGGCTTGCAAAATAAATTAGAGGAAAAGAAAGGGCTTGGAGATCAGAAAGTAAATGATAAAGGAATGAGAGAAAGGGATAAAGGAAAGGGAAAAGGTAGGGTGCCCTAATTGTTGACTGATACACGATGCAATGTTGTGAGTCTCTATTTGTGAACACCTGTTCCTCATAAGAATTTGAGATAATTCATACAAGTTTCTTGACAAGTTATTTCCTCCCTAGTTAATATGTAAAGGACACTGAACTAAAGGCAAAGCATCATTATGGAGCTGAAGTGCTTCATGCTTACAATTTTTAGAAATAATAACAGGAATTTGACATTAAAGAAAGTAGCGTTTCACACATGCAAACAGCTCTTTAATTTCATTCTAGAAAATAGAATATTTAAACTATAAAAATATTACTGATCTAGCAATAGGATCAAGCGAGTTGAAGAATATTTTAGAAGTCAATAACCTCAATTTGTCCTCAACATAATAGTATTCTACCTGGCTTTTACCTGCCTCAAAGAGATCTTCTAAGTAATCATCCATCAATATGACAAAGTATTGAAAGAAGTTGGCTAAAGAAGTGGTAAAGCCTGGCTCTATCCCTAGATGTATACCAGAAGAAAATAAATAACCACCCCTCCTGAGTGCTACAGACATCAATCTTTTGGGTCAGCTTATTGTTCAAGTTACTTTCCAGCCATACGAAATCTATAATTCATTGGAACTTTGAAATCCTCTGTAGGCAATATGCTAATACAAATGTTAGAGCATTAAGTACATCCAGAGAAAATGTGACCTTGTATGGACATAAATTTGTAAATAGCCAAAATATTAAAGAATATTAGCTTGCCAGCTCAAACAACGAAACACAATTTATGTCTTAAAAATATATTCTAGTTATCCAAGAAATGCAGATTCACTGGGAAAAACTTGGAAAACACAGATATCTCAAATAAGAAAACAAGATCATTCCATTCCAACATGGTTAACATTTTGGCTTCTTAGTGTACTACTGGATGAATTATGATATACATATAAGTAAACTCCACCCAAATCAAGAACTACAAGATTCCCACTCCCCCAGAAGGTTCCCTTATGATTCCTTCTAGTCAATCCCTACCCTTCATAGGCAAACACTATTCTGATTTCTATCACTGTGGACTAATTTTGCCTGTTCTTGAACTTCACAAAAGTGGAATTACACAATATAATGTTACTGAGATCCATTCATGTTGTTGCCTGTGTATGTATTTAACTCATTTATATTGCTGAGCCATTTTCCATCATATGAATATAGTAATATTACATTGTATTGCTATGCCACATTTTGTTTACCAGTCTCCTAGGGATAGCGAAGGGTGAATAGACTCTAGAGTGCGTAGTAGAGGAAGGCGCCGATAAGTGTCCGTTGTGGCCTCAAGAACAGCTGCAGAAATAAAGACCATAGTGAAGATTCACTAACCTTCATCTTAAAAGTTTTTGCAGGAAAGGAGACCAACCAGCCTTGTAGAGGAGCTGTTCCCAAAACTTGTTGTAAAATGCAAGGACATCCAAGTGGCACAAAGGGTGGATGAGAGTGAATCCTCTGAAGCACCAGCCAGATCCCCTTTAAGAACTGAAGCACTAATTTCCCCAGCTGCTGGAAGTGCTGGTAGCTGATGGCCCTCAGCTGAAGAAGGTTGACTCACACAAGCTTGTAGCCTCTCCCTGATGGAAACCAGCAGCCAACGGGTGGTCGAATTGAGGGTATAAAAGTCAGCACCTGCCCCCGCATGCTTGCTTCAAAGAAGGGCAATTATCTCAATTACAGGGTTCCCTGAGCCATGGACTGAAGCATCCACTGCAACTCGTTCACCATTCCATTTCTTCCTCTGTGTAATCATGTTTTTTTCAATCCTCACAAGTGTTATTACTGAGAGCAATTTCCAATAAAGTTTCTGTCTACAAACATCATAGTCTCAGAACCTTTTCCTCATGAAATCTGACCCACAACAAGCACGTTTTGAAGTAAGGCCTCCAACTTCATTCTTCTGTTTCAAGATGGTTTTCGTAATTCTAGGTCTTTTGCATTAACATGCAAATTTTTGAATCAGCTTGCTCATTACTGCCAAAAGCCTTTTGGGATTTGAATTAGAATTGTGTGGAATCTGTAGATCAATTTTAGATTGAGGTTCATCTTTTTCCATATGGATATCCAGTTGTTCCAGGCCATCTGTTAAAAAGACTATGCTTTCTCCCATTAAATTACCTAGGCACGATCATATCATCTGCAAATAGAGATCATATTTATATGCCTTTTTTGTATTTTTCTTGCCTTACTGCGCTCTCTAGGACATCCAGTACAATATTGAATACAAATTGCAAGAGCAGATATCCCTGCCTTCTTTCCAGTCTTTGGGGGAAGCATTGGTCTTTTACCAATGAACATGTAATTGTAGATCCTCCCACCCCACCACCAACTTGTAATACTGTCTTTATTAAATACCAAATTCCTCTATGTTCACAGGTCTATCTGCATTGATCTGTCTTTTCCTTCACTAGTACCATAATGTTTTAATCACTATAGTTTTATAGGTCATTTTTATGTCAGGAAGAATAAGTTATTCTTTTTAATTTTTTTGGTCATTCTCCGTTTATTCTTCTAGATACACTTTAGAATGCTATTTGTTTAATTTGTCTCGTATGTTTTTGTTGTTGTTTCTTTCTTACTTTCTATTTGATTAATCAAATATTGTTCTATTCCATTTTAATTCCTCTATTGACTTTTTATCTATACCTCTTTGTATTACTTTTAGTAATTATGCTAAACATGACAATACACACCCTGAATTTATCAGAAACTATGTGGATTTAACATTATACCACTTCACATCAAACGTAAGAACGTGTAGCAGTGCAATTTTATTAACCCCCTTCCTTGTTACCATTGTTATGTATAAACACGTATGTTAGAAACCGCAAAATAAAATATTAATTTTGCTTTGAAAAGTCAGTTGTATTTTAAGGGAATTAAGATTAAAAACAAAAAGAGAAAGTCTCATATTTATGCAAATACTTCATTTTTTAGTTCTTTTTATTCCTTCTCTTATATTTGAGATACTATTTGATGCCATTTCCTTTCAGCCTAAAGAACTTCCTTTTTCATTTCTTGTAATTCAGTTGTGCTTGGAACAAATTCTCTCAACTTTTGTTCATCTCAAAATATGTATTCGGCCGGGCGCAGTGGCTCACACCTGTAATCCCAACATTTTGGGAGGCCGAGGAGGGCAGATCACTTGAGATCAGGAGTTCAAGACCAGCCTGGCCAACATGGTGAAACACCCATCTCTACAAAAAATACAAAAATTAGCTGGGTGTGGTGGTGGGCGCCTGTAATCCCAGCTACTCAGGAGGCCGAGGCACAAGAATCGCTTGACCCCAGGAGACAGAGGTTGCAGTGAGCTGAGATCATGCCACTGCACTCCAGCCTGGGCGACAGAGTGAGACTCCGTCTCAATAAACTAAACTAAACTAAACTAAACTAAACTAAAATAAAATAAAATAAAATAAAATAGTCATTCCATTGTCTTTAGGTCTTTATTATATCTGATGAGAAACTGGCCAATATCTATATCATTGTTTTCTGATGTGTCCCTCTACCCACCAGCTGCTTTTAACATTTTCTCTTTATCTTTGATAATCAGCAGTTTGACTATGATGTGCCTAGGTGTGGTTTTATTTGCATCTTTTCTACTTAGTGTTCACTTAATTTCTTGGCTCTGTAAATTGATTATCTTCAGCATTGGGAACTTTTCAGCCATCATTTCTTCCATTTTTTTTCTTCTCTTCTTTCTCTCCAATCCTTCTCAGACACAATTACACATATGTAAGATCACTTGATATTGTCCCACCTGCCACTGAGGCATGTTCATTTGTTTCAATCTTCTTTCCTCCCTATTCTTCAATTTGGATAATTTCTATTGATTTTTCGTTAAAATATATTGATCCTTTCTTCTGCCAATTCCAAGCTGCTGTTAAGCCCATCTGGTGAATTTTTTATTTCTGTTATTGTATTTTACACTTTTAGAATTTCATCTCGTTCTTTTTTATAGCTTTTATTTCTCTGCTTTGGTTCCCCATCTGTTTACTTGTTATGATTTTTTTTCACTTAAGTTCTTGGATGTGAGCATAATAGCTCCTTCAAAGTTCCTGTATATGAATTTAGTCTGTTTATATTCACTGCTTTCTTTCCTGACCTTAGGTTATATGTTTCTGTTTTCATGCATATCTTGTATTTTTATTGTATGTTAGACATTGTGGATGGTATGTTTTATAGAATCTGGTCTCTCTTACTCTCTGTAAAATATTATTGATTTTTGTTTTACCATGTAGTTAAATTGCTGGCTGATAATCTTGAACTTATGGAGACTTCATTTTATACTTTGTCAGGGTAGATCTGTTTTGATTTGTCCTTAGTTTTAGGGTAAATCTTAGTCCTATGACAAAGTTTTAACACCCTAAGTATGGCCTTTCTGTGGTTTCAAAGAAAATCCAAAGTACATACCAAGCTGACATAACTTGGCAGGACTCAAATTCCAATCTTTATCTTCCTTGTTTGGGCAGAGGCTTAAATCCCTGCTCACATTTTTCAGCCTTTCAGCTTCCTTTCACTGGTACCCTTGGATTCTCCTTAAGGCAAGTTCAATTCAGGGATCAGCCTGGGACTTAAGAAGAAATTGTATGCAGATTTTTATGCATATATGAGATACGTAGATAGGACTTAATGGGAGATTATATGCAGCCACCTCTGTGACTTCCTCCTTTCTAGAATTTTACATTCAAATTCTAGCCACTTTTGCCTCTCCTAACTCAATCCTCTGATACCTCTAGCCAATGTGACATCAGCTTTCTGCTTGAGTTTTAACCTAGACTGGAGCATCCCTTCAGGGGAAAAGCTATATAAACTTGGATTTTTACCCAGTGCAGTTCTCTTCTTTCAAAAGTCAAATACAATTTCTGCCTCCTTTTTGTCACTCTCTTTTGTCTTCCAATAATTATTTTGCTAATATCATGTCAAGAATTTAATGTAGTTAGAATTTTCTTCTACAATATAGTTTTTCAGGTTCAGGCATAACTTGAATGCATAAAGAAAACATGATATATATACATAATGGATTACTACTTGGCTATTTTAAAAAGTATGAAATCCTGTCATTTGTGGCAACATGGATAAACTTGGAGGACATAATGTTAAGTGAAATAAGCCAGACACAGAAAGACAAATACTGCATGGTTTCACTTATACAAGGAAACTAAAAAAATTGAGCCCACAAGAGTAAAGAGTAGAACAGTGGTTACCAGAAGCTGGGGAAGGGAGGGGGGAATGGAAGAGGTTGGTCAACAGGTACGAAGTTTCAGTTAGAAAGGAAGAATAAGTTCTGTTGTTCTACTACATAGCATGGTGATTAGCAGCTAATAACAATATATTATATATTTCAAGATAGCTAGAAAAGAGTATCTTAAAAGTTACCACCACAAAGAAATGATAAAGGTTTGTGGTAATGGGCATGCTAACTGCCCTAATTTAACTATTATACAATATACGCATGTACTGAAATATCACACTTACCCTATAAACATGTACAATTATGCATCAATTATAAACAAAATTTAAAAATTTTTGAAGTATAAAAAACATAATGTTTCAGATAAACTTACTACATTTGTGTCAGAATTGTGGAAAATACTAAAATACCTAACTTTAGTTTTCTTAGAAGATTATGATGATAGTCTGGTTTGCAGCACCATAGAGATGGCAAGAAAATATTAAGTGACCTCCGTGAAAATTCAGAACTTTACAAACTATTCCACTGAGACAAATAACTTTTGTGTGATTTCTGCCTTCTGAATGTACTTTGGCTGATATACCAACCTTAAGGATATTCAAAAACTATGACTCAGGTTCTAAAGAGAACCCCTCCCTCAAAAAATTAAAAGCTCTATGCATCTTTCAGGTATTTTCCCATTTCTTAGCATGTCTTCCCTTTACCCACAAGTGTTTGCCTTATGGGAGCTCTAGGTAAAAGTGTAGGAAGAAATTGACATTAATAGCAACTCCTAACCACACATCAGAGCTCACCATTACTTGATATTTCAAGCGCGCTCTATGACTTACAAACACAGTAAAACAAGAGAGCTTGACAGAATGTGTTAAGTCTGTGGGGGACCTCTTCATACATAATACTGACAGATAAACACCCTATCTATTCAGAAACAAACTGAGGTGCTTTTCCTAATATACTGTTTGGCAACGCTCACAACTTACAGTAAAGATTTCAAGCATTAGTTATCAGTTCTGACAAGATTTATATTCAGGTTTTTTTTTTAATTCAGAGTTTTCTAGGCAATTCCATCTCCTGGAAAAAAATATATTCCTTCACAGTTTGTGCTTGTGTTTATTATTCACCATGGAGAGTAAACAGCTGAAATGAAATGACTACAAAATGAGGTTTCTCTTTAGTCATTTGAATGTGGGACACAGATTTTCCTGCATTATCATTCTGCTATTGGGGGTTCAGAAGTGGAGCTGTGATTGTCTTTACTCAGGACACCTGAGCCCCTGTATTAAAAAGCTACACATACTGGAAAATACAAGATTTCCCAGGCCTCAAATCATTAAATACTCAGTACCAAATCTGCAAAGATCCCACTGCAGCTCTCCATTGCTTGGATAGAAGTGCTGGCTGAAAATACAAGTAATAAATGTGATAAATTATATCATGGTGCTTACTCTAAGCTTTTTAATAAGAAACATACATTTTGAGGGACAGAAGTCATGTTTATCTTTATTTCAATCAGCACACTTTCAATTAGCCACATACATGGATGAGTGGCTTGGACCAAACACCACCACCACCACCCAAAGGTAAAATAGCTGAATTTAAGGCAAGGTAGTATCAGGGATGAATAAAACACTTTTAATTTGAATCTTCAAACTTTAAGTAATCATGCTATCCATGAGGAAAATCAGACATCTGTCTTGTGGCCACTAGAGTATCCCATACACTCTGAACTTTTTTAAGAAGCTATAGTCAAAGCCCTATAATTCTAGGAATTTTTCTATCCTACTCTCACGAATAGGTTCATTCTTATGTACAAGAATGATCTTCAGGTACTGGCTTGACAACAAAACATAGGCTAGAATAAATAAGAAACACGCAAAAAAAAAAGGTGCAAATAACGTATTTTTGCCAAAGGTAGAATGTACTGAATAGGCAATTCATGGTACTTGAAAAGCAGAAGTAATGACAACAAATGGAAATACAGGCCACTGGCAGAAGAAACAAGGACAAATGATTGGGTAAACAAGACCCCCAAATTGGTTAAAATTTATAAAAGTGGGGCTCATAAGTGTAGAGCAATAAGCCCATGTGAGTTATAAGAGAGAGAAAAAAAACTGAGACATGATTATGGATAAAGATGAAAGACGAGCCTAGATATTATAAACAGCAGGCTAATATAAGTGCTGTACTGCTGCATGTCAGTTCACTGTTCCTAGAGGTGATACCCATATGCCATACAGAGAAGGGGAAGAAGGAAAGACCTCATATGTCCCAAGAATTTTCTGGGGCCCGTCTGGGTTTACAGTGTAAAATGATATAGCTCCAATAGGGTCTAGAAGAAGATTCCCTTCCTAAGAAGGAAAAAAATATGGCATTTGGGGAATGCTCACTGTGAATCAGGAGCGTCACATGTTACTTTACTTAATCTTCAAAAAAAAAAAAAGGAAGAGTATTACAATAGACCCTTGAACAACATGGATTTGAACTGCAAGGGTCCACTTATTTGTGGATCTTCTTCTGTCTCTGCCACCCCTGAGACAGCAAGACCAACCCCTCCTCTCCCTCTTCCTCCTCAGCTTACTCAATGTGAAGACAAGGATGAAGACCTTTGTGATGATCCACTTCCACTTAATGAATAGTAAAAATATTTTCTCTTCCTTATGATTTTTAACAGTTTTCTTTTCTCTAGTTTACTTTATTGTAAGAATACAGTATGTAATATGTATAACATACAAAATATATGTTAATCAACAGTTCATGTTATCAGTGAGGCTTCCAATCAACAGTAGGCTATTAGTAGTTAAGTTTTGGGGGAGGCAAAAGTTATACATGAAATTTTGACTGCAGGTGGGGGTTGGTGCCCTAACCCTCATGTTGTTCAAGGATCAGCCATATATTCATTTTAAAACCATAAAACTAAAGCTTTATTAAGCTCTTACTATGTATAAGCCCTTCACAAGCATTATCTCATTTTATCTTCACAACGATCCTTCAAGTAGGTATTACTGTCTCCAGTTTACATACAAGTATTAGCTGTACTGACCCTTGCTTTTGAGATTTATATGAGTTTGAAGTGAACCCCCATTTTATGAAAAACAAATGTTAGCTACAACTTTCTTAAGGGCTTACTTTATCATGGTTTCCTCTGCCTCTTAGCTCCTGCTTTACTGAATTTGTTTAGCTTATTAACTGTCTAATCACTCCATGTTTTCCCTTTTCCATTCCATTGTAGTCTAAACATTAGGCTTATTCCCTTTACTTAATACACACACACACACACACACACACACACACACACACACACACACCCAACCAAGACATTTATGTTTACAGCAAACTTGACCCAAGGTTTGGAAAAACAGCATGGGTTCACAACAGTAATACAAGTAACTGAAAACTAATATTAGCTCTCCCTATTCCTAAGAGTCCTTTTGCCACCCCCAACATTCCATGTAGCCCCCAAACTTTCTTACTGGCTCTTCTTTCCCTTTATTCCCTTACTCCTCCTCACTCAGAGCCAACAACAAATGAATAATTTCTCCCATATAATTTCTTATAGAAAATGACTTGGTCCTTCTTGAGTTCTGCATTTCTTCTCCAGACCCTTCTCTGAAGGCTTGGTTTTGATGGCCAAATTACCTATTGAGATATTTTTTCAAACAAGGACAGTTCCATCTCTAACAGGAATTCTGGTGCCAGCACACAAGAAATACAGATGAGGGAACCAAGGCTTGGAGGTGTCTAGAAACTAACCCTGTAAGGTTTGTTCTTGAGAGCTGCTTGTTCAATATAGAAGCCACCAGCCTCATGTGACCACTCAAATTTAAATTGTACTTAATTAAAATTGAATAAAATTAAAATTTCAGTTATTCATTCTCATTACCTCATTTCAAGTGCTCGAGTGCTCTTGTGTCTAGTGGCCATTGTACTGGACAGTGCAGATGTAGAGCAGTTCTACCAACCTGGAAAGTTCTATTGGACAGTGACACTTCCACAGTAGCCGTGTGGTTCCCAGACGCTGCTATCTCTTGTCCATGTGCCACTGCTGAAGATGGTGACATATCCCTCTCCTTCTTTTTATGTTGGACTGCCATCTGCTGTGCCATTTCTAAATGAAAAGAAATACACTGTCCAATTACAAGTATGGAGTCTATGAACAAGTCAGCCGATAATCTCTGCTGTCTGTGTGAAGGCCGCCTCTTAGGCTGCACAGTGTCCTGCCTTCAGATGAAGAAGTCCTCAGACCATACTCTGCCAAGGTTTCTACCTGCCCTGGAGGCCCATTGAGACTGCTTATCCTCCAGAAACAAAGGCCTTATTTCATAATCAAGGCACAGACCAATTTATGAACCTGAAGAAGCAGCAAGTCTTTTAAAGAGTGTTGGTGTTTCCCATTCACCCACCACACTCCCCAATCCTGGCTAACCTTTCAATGATAAAGTCCGACTGTCTCAAAGAAAAAGTGCTGTTAATGGTGTTACCTTGGTGATGATGCCCCAGTCCACTCCCTCTGTAACAGTTCTCACTGAATCCTTTCTTCTGATCTTTGAATTGTACTGAATTCTCTGATTCAGTTATTCAAACTGCCACCATTTCTTCATTTTAAGCTTTGATAGCAAGAGAGATGATTCATCAGGATTGAATGCCTTTAAGCCAATGGTCTCAGTGTGGCTGTACATTGCTGTCCCCTGGGAAGGTGGGAAAAATCCAGATGCTTAGGCACACTGAAAACCAATGACATGGGAATGTATAGGGTTGGGATCCAGGCAACAGCATTTTTAACACACACCAGATGATTCTGATGTGCAGCAGTAAGACAGGCACCACTGACTTAAGTGGAATGACTGTACTATAGAGATTCTCAAACCTCTGTAAGCAGTGACTAAGAAAGCTTTGCAAAAATACAGACTCCCAGGCTCCTCACCCACCAACTGAGTCACAGTCTTAGGACTTGGGATCGAGCTATTTGCATTTTTCTAAAGACCCACAAGAGATTCTAAAGGGAAGACAGATTTGTAAATACGTGCCTAGGTGCAGTTGCAGCCCTGCAGATATCAGGGCAAAACTGCAAGGCGAGAGAATTCTGCCTCTCTCTCTCTCCTGCACCTCCTCTCCAGCACGGTGCAAAAGCCCGCAGAGCCCTTTCCCACCTCCAGGTTTGGGTTTCATCTCTGCTTTCTAAAAAGGGAAACAAAAATAAAGCTAGAGTCTAGAAAATCTTCAGTTTGAAAGTTCCTAAGCAACGGATCCTTTTCTGTTTATAACTTTCCTGCTTCAGGATCAGCCTTTCTCTCTAGCACCCTGCCAATTTTGTAATTGAGTTCATCATGCCATAATCTTGCCTTATATGCAGTAGGTGCTCAATAAATGTTTGAATGTGAATTATAAATGTGTAGAAGTAGTCCTGTATTCATAATTTGACATTCAATGATTTTTTTAAAGGGCTGGATTTTTTTCCAGGAAAATAAAATCTCTTTTGTGTTGATCAAATTAGTTTAGGAGAACATCTCTGCATATGAAAGAGATAAAGCAAAATTTAGGGAAATTATTGAAATTAGCAGAAGATGGACCCTACAAGCTGTCTAATTAATGCCTTGGGAATTAACATCAATCCTATTTTAAATCAATTTTCTGAAGTAAGTGGAAGAGCCCACTGAAACTTTCTTCCACGTATTTGTATGAATTTTGCTCTTAAATACATCTAAACTAACTAGAAGACCAAATGAAATAGAAGATGTTACTTTTCTCTAAGGGGATTTCCTTGGAGAAACCCCAGCAGTTTCAGAGCTCATGTGGCATTTATTCAAACTGTCCATAGGTGGAAGGTGGGAGGAGGGTGAGGATCAAAATACTACTATGCTGATTACCTGGGTGACTAAATAATCTGTACACCAAACCCCCATGACACGTAGCTTACCTACATAACAAACTGCACATATTCCCTGAACCTAAAATAAAAGTTAAAATAAATAAATAATAAAACAAAAAAAATAAGAAAATGGCAATGATTTTCTCATTCCCAGGAGGGGATTTTTCTTTTATTTTTATTTATACATATTTTTTGAAACAGGGTCTCGCTCCCTTTGTTGAGCAGGCTGGTCTCAAACCCAGAAAGAGATTTTTCTTTCCTTCCTTTTGCTTATATTATCTGGCTTTCATACAATACAAATCCATGTTTAGGTAATAATAAATGTAAGTGTACCATCTTAATAGTGAATATTGGCATACACCTAAGTTTAGTTTTATTCAAGTGAAGGCAGGGAGAAGCTATTCATCTCCACTCAAAGATGGGTTAGGTAGCCAAACTAGTGTTCACTGCCTGTTTGAAATTCTCTTTTGGGGAGCTTTCTCCCAGTTTAATCCTTTAATGATAATTATTAATCCATTTTACAAGTTTCTCCATTACACAAAATTTTCCAGTTGCACATTCCTTTATGCATTCTTCATGGACAAAGAAAGACTTCAAAATAGATCTTGAATGTGGCTTTAAAAATAATCCATTTATCTAATTTTTGCTTTTGTTGCCTGTGCTTTTGAGGTCTTAACTAAAAATCCTTGCCCAGCTCATTGTCATCAAATGTTTCCCAACGTTTTCTTCTAGTCGTTTCATAGTTTCTGGTTTTACATGTAAGTCTTTAATCCATTTTGAGTTAATTTTTGTGTATGGTAAAAGAGGTAGGGATCTAGTCTCATCCTTCTGCATGTGGATATCCAGCTTTTCTAGTACCATCTTTTGAAGAGACTATTCTTTCCCCAGTGTGTGTTCTTGTCACCATTATCAAAAATCAGTTTGGTCATAAGTGCATGGATTTATTTCTGGACTTTCTGTTGTGTTTCATTTGTCCATGTGTTTATTTTTATGCCAGTACCATGCTGTTTTGGTTACCACAGCTTTGTAGTATATTTTGAAGTCAGGTAGTGTGATGCCTCCAGCTTTGTTCTTTTTGCTTAAGATTGCTTTGGCTATTTGGGGGTCTTTCGTGGTTTCCCATGAATTTTTGGATCATTTTGTTCTATTTCTGTGAAAAAGATCATTGGTATTTTGATAGGGATTATATTAAATCTGTAGATTGCTTTGGGTGGTAAGACCATTTTAACAATATCAATTTTTCCCATCCATAAACATGAGCTATCTTTTCATTTATTTGTGTCATCTTCAATTTCTTTCAGTGTTTTATACTTTTGATGTAGAAATCTTTCACCTCTTCAGTTAAGTTTATTCCTATGTACATTTTATAACTATGCTAAATATAATTGTTTTCTTGATTTCTTTTTCAAATCATTTACTATCAGCATACAGAAATGCTACTGATTTTTGTATGTTTGTCAAACTAAGAAGCTTTTCCACAGCAACAGAAACAACAGAGTGAAGAGACAACCTATAGAATGGGAGAAAATATTTGCAAACTATACATCTCACAAGGGGCTAATGTCCACAATATATAAGGAACTTAAACAACAGCAAACAAAAACATAATCTGATTTTTAAATGGGCAAAAGACCTTAACAGACATTTCTCAAAAGAAAACATACAAATGACCAACAGGTATATGAAAAAATGCTCAGCATCACTAATCATCAGGGAAATGCAAATGAAAACCACAATGAAATGTGACCTCACTCTAATTAGAATGGCTATTTTCAAAAAGATGAAAGAAAACCACTCTTGGCAAGGATATGGAGAAAAGGGAACCCTTACACAGTGCTGGTGGGAATGTAAATTAGTAGAGTCATTATGGAAAACAGTATGGTGGCTCCTCAAAAAGTTAGAAATAGAACTACTGTATAATCCAGCAATCCCACTACTGGATATATATCCAAAGGAAATGAAATCAGTACATCAAAGAGATATCTGCACTCCCATGTTTACTGCAGCACTATCCATAACAGCCAAGACTTGGAATCAACCTAAATGTCCAAAAACAGATGAATGGATAAGGAAAATGTGATATATCTACACAATAGAATAGTATTCAGCCATTAAAAAGAGTGATATTCTGTCATTTGAGACAAAATGGACAAACCTGGAGGATATCATATTAATACATGAAATGAGCCAGACACAGAATGACAAATACCACATGATCTCACTGTTATGTGGAATCTAAGAAAAAGTGATCTCATAGAAGTAGAGAGAAGAACAGTGTTTATATCAGAAACTGGGGAGGGAATGGGGAAGGGCAGGATGAGGAGAGGTTGGTCAGTGTGTACAAAGTTAAAATTAGGCAACAGGGATAAGTTCTGGTGTTGTATTACACAGTAGGGTGACTATGGTCAATGGCAAAGTATTGTATATTACAAATTAGAAGAGAGATTTTTTAATGTTCTCACCACAAAGAAATGATATATGCATGGGGTGATAGATATGCTAGCTACCCTGCTTTGAACATTATACAATCTGTACATATATCAAAGCATCAAATTGTACATCACAAATATGTACAATTATAATGTATCAATTAAAGAATAAAAAGTTTTAAAAATAAAATAATCCAAATATTTTAAAATCTACATGCAGAAAAATCTACTTATAGTGGTAAAAAATTAGAAACAACTTAAATATCCCCACATAGAAGAAAGACCTAGCAAATTATGATATAGCCATTTGAAGAGACATTTTGAAGCCATACTAAAAACTATTGAATTGTGTATTTTAAATTGGTGAACTATATGGTATGTGAGTTATACCTCAATAAAGTTGTTATAAAAACATGCATAGTTTTGTGCACACTATGAGTACAGGAAAGCATATGCATAGAGAAAAATTCAAATTGTGTGATATGATTATATAATTATAATGACAAAAATTAAAAATGAATCTGATTCATGGACAGCAATCGACATAGGAATTTTCTACCTAATTTTGTGAGCATTCCATATTGTCTTCAGTAAAGATTCATTTATTAGTTTCAAGCCAGATTCAGAACACTTGGGGATGAGGACTGTGAATAGGAGGTGACTCTCCCTAAAAGCCAAATGTAGTATAATAGATTAGAAAGGTGACCGGCAAGCACACAGTAGGTTTGCACTAACTATTAGCTGAGCTTTATTTCTCACATTACATCCTGAGCCCTCTTCTCTCTTCTCCCTACAGTCTCCCTTGAAATCTCATTCTTTCCCATAACTTTGACTCCTTCTGTAGTAGTAAGTCCCAGATTTCTATTTCCAACACAGAGCTTTTTTTTCCCCGAATTTCAAACTCCTGTTGCTATCTGCTTCTTGTTAATAATAAATATAAAGTTTACAAATAAACCGTGTTAATCAGAAAACCAAGCACCACATATTCTCACTTATAAGTGGGAGCTGAACAATGAGGACACATGGACACAGGGAGGAGAACAATACACTGGGGCCTGTCGGGGCATGGGGCCGAGAGCATTAGGGAAAAGAGCTAATGCATGCTGGGCTTAATATCTAGGTGATGGGTTGATAGGTACAGCAAACCACCATGGCACATGTTTACCTATGTAACAAATCTGCACATCATGCACGTGTACCCTAGAGCTTTCAAAAATAATAATAAAATAATAAATAAATAAACTGTGCTCATTGCTGTTAAGCACTTTCCCTTAGAACCTGTACTTAAAAGAATCTCTTTGACTTTTATTTGGCTGAATACAAGCTTTTTATTTGAATACTCCAACCCAATACAATTGTCAAGCTAGTGGTGAGCTGGGGGAGGAAAGTGAAAAGTGGGAGAAGGAATTTAACAGTGTGCTGTGTAACTATCTCCTCTGAATTCCCACTTAAAATTGAAAGCATGTACATGTTCAAAGACAACTCCAGCCTCCAACCCCTTTTTCTCTTCTCCCACTGAACCACGGAATATGAACTCAGATTATCAAGAGATATATCAAACAAATTATCTCAGGGATACTGACAAAAGGCCATAAATGCCCCAGAACAGAAAGACACATATTGTGGTAATAATTTGCACTGTATTAATGCTCCAAATGCATTATCCCATTTAAACCTCCCATCAACTCCAAAGTGGGTGCTAATAATATCTGCATTTTCACATGGGATTCAGGCAAGAATACATTCAGTAAATTGCTCAAGATTACACAGTTAGGAAGTAGAGAAATAAGACTTTGAATGCAGTCAGACTCTAGAGCCTCACTCTGTAGATCAGGGTTCCTTTACCTCAGCACTAGTGACTTTTGGAGCCAGATAATTCTTTGCTATGGCTCTGTCCTGTGCATTGTAGGATGTTGAGCAGCATCCCTGGCCTCTACCCAGTAGATGTCAAAAACAACTCCCCAGCAGTAACAATCAAAAACATCTCCAACATTGACAAATGTCTCCTGGTGGGAAAAAATTGCCTCCAGTTGAGAAATACTGCTATAGATGGGGCAGGGGGAAACTTGCTTAGAGATTAAATACATTGCCAATCTATGACAACTGGTAAATAGCCCAATCTGCATTCAAACTGAGAATGACCTGACTCCATATGCCATTATGCTATATTGATCAACTTGGCAAAAATAAAACAAAATGAAACAAGAGCAAAAAAAAACAGATAGGAATAAAATAAAACAAATAAACTATTATTTTGGAATGATTTGCTTCCATTTAAAGAAAAAGAAACAGAAACAGTCCCTAAAGACTGTTTAAGAAAAAGACTGTTAATGATTGTTAAAGAAAGAGTCCCTGAAATACTTAAACTTAACTAAGAGTAAGCAGAGATGTTCTATAAAGTAGTATTTCTCAAAGTTGGCTACATATTAGAACTATCTAGTGAGCTTTAAAAGTACGGATATCTGGGCCTCATCCCCAAGAGATTCTAGTTTAATTGGTCTGGAATGTGACCTGGGTTTGGGATTTTTAAAAGCTGTTCAAGTGTTTCCAATATGAATTCAAAGCTAAGAACCACTGCTGTAAAGGATTCAACTAGTATTTTATTTCTATGGGTCTTATCAATCATGCATATTAAATTGATTACATACATTTAGTTTAATAGAAAACCAATGGATACCTAATAAATTGAGAGCGTACATTACCCTTAACATTCACTGAGCTACTGATCACCAAATTTGTAGATGTTTATAGGATCATATAGCCAGAAGAGAAAGTATTCTCTAGTTCCTAACCTTTGGACCATCTTGTCCCCCATCATCATTTCCAACAAAAAATTAGCCAAAATTTGAAAGGGTACTGTTATTTCATGATTATTCACAGTGCTTTCAAAGTGTGATGGAAGAATATTTTTTCAGTTATTGGGTAAAATGTGATTTTGGAATGGTTTCAAGACTCTAAACACTTTATTTTGGCTTATTCCAATATGTGTGATTAAGTAATTTTTCTAAACATTAACCTTGTCACTACTACCATGAATAATTCAGAATTCAATAGATACATTCATTTCTAATATGTAATATGTTCAGATAACAATAAGACACCTTAGGTTTTCATTACTGTAGCCGTCAAACTACGGAAGTGATAACATTTGCTTAAATGGCTTTCTATAACAATGACCAGCAAATCTAGCCTAATGTAGACAACACTGTTATTCACTCCAAATATACTCCCTTTCCTTCCATAGACAGTCTATGCCTGCACATGGCAAGCAATAAAACAGTATGAACATTCAGATAATTTATCCAGTGTTGATGATCATTTCTAATTACACTGTACAATAATTTGTCCAGTGATTAGCATTGATTATTACAAAATGGTCACTTCTCAAACATTAATCTAAGCTGACAGGCTCAGAACACAATACCCCAAAATACAGTAGCTTGGCAATTGAGAAAATGGCAGAAGCAGGAAGGTCTCTCTCATCTTCTCCCACCATTCTCCCCTGAAACAGGCCATAGAATCTAGGAAGGTCAGTCTCTGACCCTCTCCTTCCTTTCTCCCCTGAAGACCCTCATATGACAGGTGTCCTGCCCTATACCTAGAGGAAAGAAATGTTACACAGAGAGGCCAAAAAGAATCTGAACAAACAGGCCTTGCTAAGTTCCCCCAAATTTACTACCACTATGTCATATTATTTTGTCCTCCAATCACACTTCTGCATGACTGTCCACAAAAATATGGTTTTCCCTTAGTCTCTGGGTTTTCATTTCTGAAGCTTCCTGTGTTATGTAAAATTTATATTGAGTAAACTTGCTATGCTTTTCTCTTTTTAATCTGTCATTTGTTATTGGGGTTTCAGCCATGAAGGAACCCAAAATATTTCTGTCTAAAACACTGAGGACTATTGACCTGAAGAAGGTTAAAACACCAGAGGACACTCTGCCCCTCCCTCTGCCTGCCTGATGACAGGAGAGCAATTTACAAAGACAAAGGTCTTCCTGTCCTCCTCCCTGACTTTTCCTGCCTACACTTGCTCATCAGCTGAGAGATAACAGTGCCAGAGGACCTAGGAACAAACTTGACTCTTCCCATAAGTTTACCTTCCCACATTTGCCCACCTTTTGGAAGCCTGAAAATGCTCTCTTCTTTGTCTTGTCACTATAGGATTTAAGGCTGTTTGTTGAAATACTATTTAAGCAAGTCCCCTAAGCCACTGCCTTAAGAGAGAAATACTTTTGAACAGAGGCCTCTCCCAAGTGATGGGTACAGCACGTGTCAATAAACTTCTGCTGGTTTTTCTCTTGTTAACGTGACTTTCGTTTTCAGGAGTGTCTCAACTAAGAGAGGGGTAAAAATAAGAAATTATATTTTCTCCCCTATAGTCATGAACCTTATAATGAGTGAGGAAAGACACTCCTTCTCCCCTACAAAGTGTAGATGACTTTTTATACATTGATCCTTGGAATCTGTAAGGTTCTTGAGAATTAAGCAATAGAAACCAAAAATTATGTCCCATTACAAGTTATCTTCCAACCACCATTCTGAAGATTAGGAGGTGGGTTTGCTTATTCGTTTTGTGGTTACTGCAAATTTTGTTGGGTATTTTTTTTGTTTTTTGGAAGAAAGAGAAGGCTTGGAAGTGTAATAAATTTTCCCAAGCCCTGGAAGTGCATAAATACTTTCAAGAGCAGGGTGAAGCTCAACAAATTATAGTATAAACTCTCTTCAATAAAATACCCACACATCCACTGTGGCTAAGGTTGAACTGGAGTCTTATTTTAGACAGCAGAACTAAAAGAAAATAGCACTCACCCTGGGTAGCAGAAATGCCTGAATTTATATAACACCTATATTCACAGAGTTAATGTACAATTTAGTGAAATTAAATTAATTAATTTTTAATTGCACAGAGGGTCCACTCTACTCCTATTTTTAATTCTTTTGTAGGAAGGAAAAAAAAAGGCTCCAGTGAGTTGTAATTGTGCCACTGCCCTCCAGCCTGGGCAAAAGAGTAAGAGCTTATCTCTAAATAAATAAATAGGCCAGGCAGGCATGGTGGCTCATGACTGTAATCCCAACACTTTTAGAGGCCAAGGTGGGCAGATTGCTTGAGCCCAGAAGTTCGATACCAGCCTGGGAAACATGGCAAAAACTCATCTCTACCAAAAATGCAAAAATTAGCTGGGCGTAGTGGTGTATGCCTGTGGTCCCAGCTACTTGGGAGGCTGAGGTGGGAGGATCACTTGACCCTAGGAGTTCGAGGCTGCAGTGAGCCGTAATCATGCCACTACACTCCAGCCTGGGTGACACAGCAAGACTCTATCTCAAAAAAATTTTTTTAATTAAAAATGAGTGAGGGTAGGGAGCATAAATACATCCTTCTTTTGAGTCTCCACAGCACCTAGCAACCTGCTTTACACATTCAAAATATGTCTTATATATTTGAAATATGGGCTATTTATTGATTGGCTGAAGGAAAAGATCCTTGAATTCCATAAATTATGATTCTCTAATTTATCTTTTATCATTTCTTCTTTTCCTCATTCCATTGCTTCTTTCTCAACTGGAGGTAAATTTGTCCCAGGATGAAGTCTATGAATGGAATGGATGAAGTGTCATGGAAACAGAATGGAGCAAATCCAAGTGTGGGTTTTTTTTTTATAACTATTGATTTCTTGACTCTGCTTTCAGTTTCCATTGATTTGTTGGTGTTAACTGGATTTATGACTACTATGCTTTGTTTCTGTGAGTCAGTATTCTATTTTCCCTGAAGCAACATGTCTGTTGTACACAGGCCATCTCCCTGAGACCTCAACGCATCCAGAAAACAGCCAAGAGCTGAGAAGTAAGCAAAATATCTCTGAACAACCAAAACAGGTATCACCATGTCTCCACTGTCCAAACACTTACATAAGATGGAACACCTTTTGGAGCTCTCTGCACATAATTCTAGTCAATTCGTTTGTGTGATTTTCCTAACAAGGCATGTTAGAAGCAGCAAATTTGTTGGCAGGTTAGGAAGGATAGGTTGCCAAAGGCTGGAACACTGACAATCATTAAAATGACACCTGATAGACTAAAAGTGAGAAAAAGAACAAACAACAAAAAAAGAAAACATGTAAAAATAAGAACCAAGGAATCAAAACTCAAAAGAGATTTGATCATGCCATGTAGAGGCAAATAACCCTATATTTGTATTGCTCATTGCATTCTAGTGTGGGAGAGAAATTGACATTCATCATGGTAAGCCTGAGATATAAAGACAAGAATAAAATGTGCTCAGGAAACTGTTGGAGAAGACAGGAAAGTACACAATAGATTTTAGAAAGATTTCTAGTCAAAATGGTTTTGTTGTTGTTGTTTTTGTGTTTAGAGGAGTAAACATCAGTTAATGGGGAAAAGAAGATTCATAAGTCATTTAAATAGGCCACTTCTTTCCTAACAGACTGGACAAATTGGGCATTACTGTATTTCAAACAAAGCACGAAAAATCTCTTTAGAAGTGTCTCATTCTACAAATATACTATAACCGCAATAATGTGATTTAGGAGGGAAAGAGAGAGACACACACACAAAGACTGCTACTAACTCCTGGACAGGTTAGAAGTTATTACCATTCCATCTTTCTTGCCATTGTTCCCCAACCACATATATTCTCAACTTTTACATAGCTATTAGCATAATATATGATTTATTTTGCTTTGACTTGACTTATCATTCATCACATACTTTCCATGTGCCTATATAATATTCATAATTTTCATTTTGATGGCTGCCTAATAGTCCATGTTCCTAAATTGCTTTCAATTTTACCAATTATCAATAAACAATACTGCAATAAACACCTTCACATATACAGCTATTCTGTCCTTGTGTAGTTTTGGATTACTATCAAACAATAAATTCACCAAAGTGAAATTAGAAATATATCTAAATTAAGAAATGTATTTGAACAGTGACTTGCTTTACGAGGTTGTGGTGAAAATGAGGTTGTAATACCAGTCAAAGCCCTCCTCCCCAGATTAGCAGAAATTTAACTCCTCACTTGACTCTCCCCCACTTCCCTGAATTGCCCAAGAACCCAGAGATTCATTCAGTCAAACTCTTAGCAGAGGGAAAACTAGAGAATCTGACCACCGTCCAGTGGACACTTCTTGACGCCTGCTGTTGCTTCAGTTACTCAGTTACTCCTGTCCTATGGCACATGCATCTAATGAGTGGATATCATGGCTCTTAAACCATGAACTCACAACACCCATGTGTGAAGAGGGCCCCGTGGGCATCATTGTTCCTCTACTAACAGATGAAGATAGGCAGGCTCTGAGAAGTAGTGACACAACCAGGAAGGGACAAAGACAGACCTTCCATCCCTCGGACAGGGATTCATCCATTTCACCGTGCAAGCTCATCATGTACAAGATCCATGCCAAGAAAAATCTGACAGTATACAGGGACAGGACCTGATTTTTTTTCTTAATGTAGAAGGGTGATTCTGCACAGTATATGTAGTTGTGCTTCTATGTCAATGACCCATAAAATATCTTGTGAGGACAGAAAACATAACATACGTAAAATTATGCTCTAAAAAAGCCTTACACATTGTTGGCCTCAAATTATTTTAGCCAGTTGAAATGAAAATTATTTAGAGATTAATTTTAACCTAATTCGGATTTTGTTGAAGATGTAGTAACTTTAAAAACAATGTGAAAGAATAGAGCTGGAAACGCAGTAGTGAAATATCATCTAAAAACAATACACTATTGAATTTTAGATGTATAGAGTCATTTACATGTGACTGACATGTGTCACTACAGCCTATGACTGAGAGATTAATGCACTTCCTTTTAAAAGCATTTCTCCAATACTTTGTACAATTGTGCCCTCTGCCGGATGCACATGGGTATTATTTTACAGGGCTATACATAGGAAACAATGCTTTATAATCACATCTTTTTAAAGTAAAACTTTTCAATACTTGAATTCTGTGTATATTTCAGCAATTAGTTGGTTCTATCCCACACAAACTTCCTAATCCTCTTTTTAAATTACTGATAATCTCATTTACAGAAATCAAAACATTGTTAAAGATTAGCTCAGTACTGTTTAGTGCTGTCAGCTGAGTAAATTGTTACTTCTCAAAAAAGAACTCATAACTAAATATAAATATGGATAAATCTCTTGAAAGTTTCTCATATCTCAATAAAATGCATAATGAAACCATTTATTATCATATTTAAGTTTACAAATATCCACCCAATTATTGTCTCATTTCGTTTCATTATTTAAAAATATTTATTCCCATGTAGCATACTGGATTTCAATGATACACAACAAAATAATATGTGGTCTCAATTCTCAAGAATTTTATTATTAAATGGAAAATGGTGAGAAGTAAATGAACAACTGCAGAGTAGCACATGCCATGAACACTGGGATGTTCCAGATTCCCCTTCAATGAGGAACTTGCGGCTCCAGTCACAGAGAGCCTCCTTACGCAATGTCACACCCCTTTTCAGGAGCCCACATCCAATGACTGATCCATGCTGGAGAAAAAAGTGCCCACCATATCAGCCCAACTTTCTACAACTCAGAAGGGCCATTCTGGCTCCCTAAATCCCCTGGGGTTTACCACAGTTGTTAGGCACACATTCAAGCTCAGCCCTTCTCTCTACCCCAGTGGTTTTCAACTGAGGGCAATTTGCTATCCCCTCCTTCCCCACCACCAGCATATTTTGCAATGTCTGAAAACACTTTTGGTCATCACAACTGAAGGGGAGGGAGGTGTGTATGTGTGCTACTGGCATCTAGTGGGTAGAGCCCAGGGATACTGCTATGCATCCCATAGTGCACAGGACAGCCCCACAACAAAGTGTTACACCTAGTCTGAAATGTCTCTATGCCACAGTTGAAAAACCCTGTTCTATCCAATCTCGTGCTTTCCTTTCCCTTTCATAGGTGTTGGTCTGAGGTCATTCTTTTTTTTGGGGGGGGGTGTTTTGGTTTTGTTTTTCAACTTTTGTTTTAGATTTGGGGGTACACACGCAGGTTTGTTACAAATGTGTATTGCATGATGCTGAGGTTTGCAGTACAATTGAAACCATCACCCAGGAAGTGAGCATAGTACCTAACAGGTAGTATTTCAATCCTTTCTTCCCTCCATGTCTCCCTCCTCTTGTATTCCCTGGTGTCTATTGTTCCCATCTTTATGTCCATGTGTGTCCAATGTTTAGCTCTCACTTATAAGTGAGAACATGTGATATTTGGTTTTCCATTCCTGCATTAGTTCACTTAGGATAATCACCTCCATCTGCATCCATGTTTCTGCAAAGGACATAATTTCATTATTTGTTATGGCTGTGTAGTATTCCATGGCGCATATGTACCACATTTTCTTTATCCAATCCACCATTGATGGGCACTTGGGCTAATTCCATTTCTTTGCTATTGTGAATAGCACTGCAATGAACATACAGGTGCATGTGTCTTTTTGGTAGAATTTCTTTTCCTTTGAGTATATACCCAGTAATGGGATTGCTGGGTCGAACAGTAGTTCAACTCTCACTTCTTTGAGAAATCTCCAAACTGCTTTCCACGGTGGATGACCTAATTTACAGTCCCACAAGTAGTGTATAAGCATTCACTATTTTTTTTTTTTTTTTTTTTTTTTTTTTGGCGGCGGGGAGACGGATTCTCGCTCTGTCTCCCAGGCTGGAGTGCAGTGGCGCGATCTCGGCTCACTGCAACCTCTGCCTCCCGGGTTCAAGCGATTCTCCTGCTTCAGCCTCCTGAGTAGCTGGAACTACAGGCACGCACCACCACGCCCGGCTAATTTTTGCATTTTTAGTAGAGACGGGGTTTCACCATGTTGGCCAGGCTGGTCTCCAACTCCCAACCTCAGGTGATACGGCCGCCTCAGCCTCCCAAAGCACTTTCGCAGGCCCACCAGCATCTGTTTTTTGCCAAGGTCATTCTTTACCGAACATCCTGCACCCTAAACTCCATCAAAGAGTTGGCTTTCTGGGAAACAGTTACGATAGTATCCATAAGAAACCATTTGGTCTTATACGTGTGTATAAGAGAGACAAAGTAGTATGTATGTATATAAATTTATTAGTATGAACAAAACTAGGAGGACATACGCTAAATATAAAGAGTGGTTATTTCATTTTTTAAATGTTTTGTTTTTAATTATTGTGGGAATATAATAGGTGTATGTATTTATGGGATACATGAAATGTTTTGATATAGGCATGCAATGTAATTATCACATAATGAAAGATAGGGTATCCATCCTCTCAAGCATTTATCTTTTGTGTTACAATCCAATTATCCTCTTTTAATTTAAAATGCACAATTAAATTATTATGAATTATAGTCACCCTGTTGTGCTATCAAATACTAGGCCTTATTCATTCACTTTATTTTTTGTGCCCATTAACCACCCCCATCTCCCCATCACCCCCCACTATGCTTCCTAGCCTCTTGTAATCATCCTTCTACTTTCTATCTCCATGGGTTCAATTATTTTGATGTTTAGATCCCACAAATAAGTAAGAATATGCAATGTTTGTCTTTCTTTTCCTGGCTTATTTCACTTAACATAATGACTTCCAGTTCTATCTATGTTGTTGCAATCTCATTTTTTTTTTATGGCCGAAGAGTACTCGGTTGTGTATATGTACCACATTTTCTTTATCCATTCATCTGTTGATGGACACTTAGGTTGCTTCCAAATCTTGCCTATTGTGAACAGAGCTGCAACAAACATGGGAGTGCAGATATCTCTTCGATATGTTGATATCCTTTCTTTTGGATATATGCCCAGCAGTGGGATTGCTAGATCATATGGTAGCTCTATTTTTAGTTTTTGAAGAACCTCCAAACTGTTCTCCATAGTGGTTATACTAATTTACATTCCCAACAACAGTGTATGAGGGTTCCCTTTTCTCCACATCCTTGCCAGCATTTGTTACCGCCTGTCTTTTGGATATCAGCCATTTTAACTGGGGTGAGATGATATCTCATTATAGTTTTGATTTGCATTTCTCTCATGATCAATGATGTTGAGCACCTTTTCATATGCCTGTTTGCCATTTGTATGTTTTCTTTTGAGAAATGTCTATTCAAATGTTTTGCCCATTTAAAAAATCAGATTATTAGAGTTTTTTTTCTGTAGAGTTGTTTGAGCTCCTTATATATTCTGCTGATTAATCCCTTGTCAGAGGGGAAAATATTTGTTTGCAAATATTTCCTCCCATTCTGTGGACTGTTTCTTCACGTTGTTGATTGTTTCCTTTGCTGTGCAGAAGCTTTTTAATTTGATATGATCCCACTTGTCCATTTTTGCTTTGGTTGCTTGTGTTTGTGGGGTATTACTCAAGAAATATTTGCCCAGAATGTGGTCCTGGAGAGTTTCCCAAATGTTTTCTTGTAGTAGCTTCATAGTGTGAGGTCTTAGACTTAATTATTTAATTCATTTTTATTTGATTTTTGTATATGGTGAGAGAGACAGGAGTCTAGTTTCATTCTTATGCATATGGACATCCAGTTTCCCCAGCACCATTTATTGAAAAGATTATCTTTTCCCCAGTGTATGTTCTTCCCCCCTTTGTCGAAAATGAGTTCACTGTAGGTATGCAGATTTTTTTCTGGGTTCTCTGTTCATTGGTCTATGTGTCTGTTTTTATGCCAATACCAAGCTGTTTTGGTTACTATAGCTCTGTAGTATAATTTGAAGTCAGGTAATGTGATTCCTCTAGTTTTTTTTTTCTTCTTCTTATGATAGCTTTGGATATTCTGGGTGTTTCGTGGTTCCATATAGATTTTATGATTTGTTTTCTCTATTTCTGTGAAGAATGTCATTGGTATTTTGAAAGGGATTGCATTGAATCTGTAGATCATTTTGGGTAGTATGAACATCTTAATGATATTGATTCTTCCAATTCATGAACATGGGTTTCCATTTTTTGGTGTCCTCTTCAATTTCTTTCATCAGTGTTTTATAGTTTTCATTAAAGAGACATTTCACTTTTTTGGTTAATTCCTATATATTTAATTTTATTTGTGGCTATTGTAAATTAGACCACTTTATTTCTTTTTCAGTTTGTTCACCGTTAGCATAAGAAATGCTACTGATTTTCGTATATTGATTTTGTATCCTGCTACTTTACTGAATTTATCAGTTCTAATGTTTTGGTAGAGTCTTTTGAGGTTTTTTGGGATGAAAGGATGGTGAATTTTATCAAATGTTTCTTCAGCATCAATCTAAATAATCATACGGTTTTTGTCCTTCATTCTGTTGATATGATGTATCACATTGATTGATTTGCCTATGTTGCATCCCAGGGATAAATCCCACTTGAGCATGATGAATGATCTTTCTAGTGTTTGATGAATTCAGTTTGCTAATATTTTGTTGAGGATTTTTGCATCAATATTCATCAGGGATATTGGCCTGTAGCTTTTGTATTCTTTTTGTGTTGTTGTTAGATGTGTCTTTGTCTGGTTTTGGTATCAGGGTAATATTGGCCTTATAGAATGAGTTTGGAAGTACTGCCTCTTCCTCTATTTTCATTTGTTTCAAGACATTTTTCAATTTCCTTCTTAATTTCTTCATTGACTCACTGGTCATTCAGGAGCATATTGTTTAATTTCCATGTATTTGAATAGTTTCCAAAATTCTTCATCGATTTCTAGTTTTATTCCATTATGGTCAGAGAAGATGCTTTATATCATTGTAATTTTTTTGAATGCTTTAAGACTTGTTTTATGACCTAACATATGGTCTATCCTTGAGAATAATCCATGTGTTGAGGGAAAAAAATGTGTCTTCTGCAGCTATTGGATAAAATATTCTCTAAATATCTA
Organism: Homo sapiens; assembly: GCF_000001405.40. Taxonomy (NCBI): domain Eukaryota; kingdom Metazoa; phylum Chordata; class Mammalia; order Primates; family Hominidae; genus Homo; species Homo sapiens. The sequence continues at coordinate 14,034,532 of NC_000023.11, read as the reverse complement.
TTAAATATTTGGTCTATAGTGCAGATTAAGTTTGATATTTCCTTGTTGATTTTCTGTCTGGAAGATCTGTCAAATGCTGAAAAGTGGGGTGTTGAAATCTCCAGCTATTATTGTAATGGAGCCTATCTCTTTCTTTAGCTCCAATAATATTTGCTTTATATATCTGAATGCTCCAGTATTGAGTGCATATATATATATAATTGTTATATCCTAAAGAGTGGTTATTTTAAAGTAATGGCATTGCAAGCCATTCTTGTTGTTTTCCTTTGTACTTAAGTGCCTCAGTTGTCCAAGATTTGTGTTTTTATTATTGTATTTTTCTTTTTTGCATTAAGCACATGTTACCTTTGCAGTCTGGGGAGAGAAAATCTTGTAATTTTAAAGAAAAAGGGCATGGACAATAGTATTAAATACTGCAGAGAGGCCAAAATATAGTAGATGGAAAGTCAGCCATGATGCCAGTGAGACAGTTGTACCGGAATGGACATGCCTGAAGAGAAACAGCTGTGGGATGAGTGGAAAGTAGGTGAGGAAATAAAGGTATCTCACTTTTTACAGAAGTATAACCAAAAAGAGAGGTGGAAAAATAGAAAGGTGAGGAGAGGAGAGTGAAAAATCAGCCCAAATGATTTTAAAGATCAGAGAACCTGAGTAAGTTTGATGCTGATGGGGAAGAAGCCAGGAAAGAGAGAGGCAATGATACGAGAGGTGTACAATTGAGGGTGTGAGGTGCCTGTGAGGACATGGAATTGGATCCAGAGAACAACCCTTGACTGGGTTGGCCTAAGCACAAGCAAAGGCATTCATCATGCCTCTTTAAACCAAGAGGCATGGTGAGTGCAGATGGCAATATATTTCAAGGTGATGAAATCCATGCCTGGTCATCTCAATTGTGTCAATAGGAAGTGGTCATCTGCTGAAACGAAGGGTCTGGGGCTGGTGAGGCAGGGGCTTGAGAAGGTGAAATCAAAGAGAAATTATAGCAGAGGACCTGAGCCGGACCTGAAGCGAGGGCCTGCTAGGGGGTGCTCCTGGGAAACTGCTCTTTCCTTTACCCAACTTCAAAGTAAGAATTCAGGACTACTGTTTGCAGGTGGTTTAGCACCATTTACTTGATCCAGGTAAGGGGACTGGTTCCCAAGCTGTTTCTTCACAACACTTAGGTGGCAGATGGGTCCCAGCTGGGGGACAGGGGAGGATCCAAAAAGCCCCATGAGATTAGCTATGGCTTCCCACAGCTGGCAGGATTTCCACACCTGGCACCTGAACTTTGGGGCCCCAGTAACAGAGTTTGAGATTCGTCGGTGCTACTTCCTGTGTTAGGTAATAACCTCTATATATTTCCTTACCATAGGGCCTTTAAAGAAACTACATCCTGTAGCCACGCCTTTTGGCTTCTCTCCCTCAATCTCATCTCCTATGGTTGAGATAAACAGGAGCGAAATTCTCCAAAGTGTAAACCAGAGGACACGTCCTGCTGCATCTGGTGCCGTTTTCTCCCAGCACTGCCTCCCCATCCTTTCCAGACACACCAGGATACACTGATAGGGGACTACTATGCCTTAACAGGCACTGGGATTTTAGATGCCTTGTTTCAAGGAGTGGTTCTCAACCAGGAGCCATTCCCCACACCCTCACCCTAGGGACATTTGGCAATGGCTGGAAACATTTTTGATTGTCACAAATGGGGGCAGGGAGGGACATCCAGTGGGCAGAGGCCAAGAATGCTTCTAAATATCCTACAATGCACAGAATAGTCCCCACAATGAATTATGCAGCCCCAAATGCCAATAGTGCAGAAAGTGAGAGGTCATGCTTTAGAGTTCCTCATCTGACAGGATTCTTTAAAGTTTTGCTATAATCCATTTAAAATTTGAAGCATATGCCTGAGAAAAATTAAATACTGAGGAATTGCCATTTGTAAATTTCCACCAGGTGGCGCCAAATGACAAGTGAAAATCCAACCTCCTCTAGCCTCCATTTCAAAATTCAGTTTCTCTCCCTGGTTAACCCCCTGGAGTAACAATCCCCATTCTTTTCAAATAGGATTGTCGCTCCTTAGGTGCTTAGTGTTCCCCACCACCAGTATTTTTATGCAAGTGAGTTAAAGTGAGTAATGACTAAAACTCAGACTTAAAGATGAAAAGAACAGGACTACATCCTCAATCAGCTACAGAATTTCCATTCCCTGCAGCAACAAGGGTATGGGAGAATCAGCTAGTTTCTTTTCTTCTTTAGTCAACTTTTAGCTGGGCACTTGGCCATCTGAAAAAGACAATTCCAAGCTCCTGCACCCTTAGGAGGGCTAAGTAATGAAGTTCAGGCCATTAGTAGGAAGTGATCAGAAGTGCTGTGGGCCGCCTCTGGGTAGTACTCTTAAAGCAGTGGTTCTCAACTGGGGGTGACTTTGCCCCCTCCTCCCCCAGCCCAGGAGACATTTGGCAATGTCTGAGGACATTTTTGGCTGTCACAACTGGGAGACAGTACTGGCATCTTGTGAGTAGAGACCAGAGATGCTACTAAAACTCCTACAATGCACAGGACAACCCCCAAAACACAGAATTATCCAACCCCAAATGTGAATAGTGCCAAGGTGGAGAAATCCTTAGAGGGAAAGGGCATGCCCTTGGCTTTCTCTTTCCCACTGGCTGAAAGGTGCAGTGGTGCACCATCTTGGACCATGTGGGCCAAGGCAAGAAACCAGGGAGGGTGGAGCTATGAGACAGGTGGAGCTGCCATACTCTGGACTCCTTACACCCAGACTGCCATGAGATAGAAATACACTTCTCAACAGTTTGAGCCACTCCTCTTCTGGGTCTCTGTGACAGCAGCCAACTAATATTCTATCTAATGCCATAGTATACCATATATATTGTATTTTTTCATTCATAGAACCAGGAATCACTCTACCTGAACTATATCCACTCTAGGCCTGCATCCTTCTGCCTTTCCCAGGAACCCCCTAAGCTCTTTCTCCCTATCTTACCCCTCTCCATCTTTCTTTCCTGCCTCTCTAGATGCTGGCTTCTTCCTTGAGGTAGAGATTGCACCAGGCCCCATCTGACTTATCTGTCTCAATCCACACCTGACTTTTCCCATAAGACTTCACCCTCCTACCATCTCCTGCTTCTATCCATAGATATCTCATTTCCTCCCACATCCATTTTCTGAGGTGGAGGAATAATCTTTTCTAAAATAATCCCCCTCTATATACACATACTTTCTGGCCCTTACCCTGCTATACTGTCTTCATATAACTCACCACAACATACAATTCTATTTATCTGCTTATTGTCTATGTTCTACACAAAAGATTTAATTTTATGAGCCCCAAAACTGTATTGTTTACTACTGTGTATCCGGTAAATAGAATACCACGGTACAATAGAAATGCAATGCATGCCACATATATAATTTTAAATGTTCTAGTAGCCACACTAATAAAGTAAAAAGATAAAGATCAAATTTTAGTCTTTAACCTCAATAGTCCTTCTCTAAGATGTTATCACTATAAAGAAATTGAGGTATTTTACATTCTTTTTCTCATTCTTCTTCAAAATCTAGAGTGTAATTTACCCTTACAGTGTATCTCAGTTCAGACTACTACAATTCAGGTTCTCAGGGCCACATGTAGTGGTTACAATGGACAGCGCTAACATAGAATACTTGGCACATAGCCGGCATCCAGTAAATATTTGTTAAAGTTAATATTCTTCTATACCATTTTAATTCTTCTGTAGTCCAGGAATAATACAGTAATGTCACGTCATTAATACCACCCAATTGACTTAGCCATTTCCTTGTTGGGCATTTAGGTCTTTTCCAATTTTCACTTTTTAAAATAATTCTGTAATAAACATCTATCTGGTTCGTACCTGTTTTTCCTTGGAATAAATTCCCAGAAAGTATTAAATATGGTAATTGCCCCAGAAATGATATGTCACGTAAGACTTCTAATTGTTTATGCTTGGTTCTTGTTAATGACTCTTGTAATGTTAACAGGGCAGGTATTGCTGTGATGGTTATAATTACAAACATATTAGTACTAATGTTTTGTCTGCTGCAATGCATCAGGCACTCTGCATTAGGTTATGCATATCTTATAGATGAGACACACGAGGCTTGGGGAAGTTACAAACTTAGCACTGGACTCGCACTCAAACTGAGATCTGGGTTAATCTATTTTCAAAGACTGGGTGTTTTACGCTGGGACAAATTAAGAAACTAAAACTGTTTTAGTTAAGAAAGAAAACAGAAAGGAAGAAAGAAAAGGCTAAGTAAAGACAAGGGAAGGAAAACGAAGAAAGCTGAGGAAAGGACAAAAAGTTAAAGGCTGGAAACCCGGGCGGTGCAGAAGCGACCCTTATCTCGCCGGTGCAGAAGCACCGTCCGACCCCCGGCGCGGGTGCCCGCCACAGTCCCAGTGCCCCGCCCGGTGCAGCTCCCTCTCCGCCGGCCCCGCCACCCGCAGCCATCCCACGCCTGCCGCCCCGGCGCTCCACTCGGGGTAGCCGATTAGCAGGCAGCTTCCGGCCTCCAGCACTGCACCGCCTGCGGTGCGAACGTGACGTCCGCGACACAGGGGGGGACTTCCGGCGCGCCGCGCCACGCCACGTGTTCCGCACCGGAAGCGCGCTTCCAGTCGCCCCGGCAACAGCCGCCTCCCTCGCGTCCCCCACTCCCCCTCTGTCTCTCCAAGGAAAACTAGGCCCCTGCGCGGCCAACGCCCAGGATCCGCAAGCTGCGCGCCCACGAGGTGACTTCGGGGACGGCTGGGTTTCCTTTGGGGAGTGAGGGAGGAGCTTAGACGCCCCGGGCCCTGGCTTCTTCTGATGCGCAGAGAGCCGAGGTCTTGGACGTCACGTTGCTCTCATAATTATCTTAATCCCGCGACAAAAGGTGGGGCCGGAGGCCCATGAGATTCCTAAATCATTGCAGGTTAATTGTGAGAGGGGACCAGTCCCAGAGGCTCTCAGCTCTGCAGTGCTTCCGAATCACTGGACGACTCTTTAAGAATTCTGATCCCCGGGCCCCCATCCCGGACCAATGAAATCAGAATCTCTAATAGTGGGGCCCTGGCATCGGTAGTTTTTAAAGCTGCCCAGGTGATTCTGGGGTGCCGAGAACCACCGTGTTAAGGTCTGTAGGTGAATTCGGATTTTGCCCATCCAGTCCAGTATCTGAATAGAAGATCGCCCAGGACAGCCACATACTTGAAGGATGTCTAGGATATTGCCCTCTCTGCTCAAAAATTCGGGTTTCTTTCTTTTCTCTTGCACTTTAACCTCTGCAGGAGGTCAGCTTTTGGTGGGAGTTATCTTGAGACATCTGGCGCCTACAGTTTATGGGCCTTGTGTCTCTGCCCACTTATCAGTAATGAGCTGTAATTGAACCAGTGGCCAACGAAGTGCATTTTAGCTCTGAAATCTTGATGTTCCCTTAGTACAGATCAGATGGTTCTGAACAATTTTATTTTTTTCAGGAATGATGTTTTTAAACTCGTTTGACAGGCTAGGCTGTGTATTCAGCTGTTCTTCATCTCAAATCAGAACAATATTACTTAAAAAATCTAGACTAAAGATTAGTAACGCAACACTTCTAGGATTATTTATGCTCACAGCCCCCATGAATTGTAGGATGAGAGCTACCCTTTAAAAATACTATTTTTGCTAGCATAATTTATCGGAATAACAGTCTCTTTGTAATTTCAATGTGAACAGAAACCATATATTTTTAAAGACTGCTGGTTAGTAACTTGGAATAAGCATAACTGAAAGCAAGTTCACAGGTGTATAAATCCCCTCTGTGTGTTCATTGCTGTGCTGGGGAAGTATACAAACTAAAGTTCCAGAGAGAAATGTTCATTCTGAAACTGTTCTATAGATGGTGATTAATCATTTTGGGTTTTTTTTTAAAGGATAGGGTGAGATGAGAATGACGGGGGAAAGTTTTGAACAGTTAAGGCTAGAGTGTAAATTGGAGAGTTTGCAAAGTAGGTACAGAACTTTTTTTGAACAACTTCTCTACAAGAGGAAATTCAGCCACGGAACAGCTGGACAAGTGAAAAAAGAATGTAGTTGATCAAATATCAGATGAATTGAAAAGATCTTTGAAAACATAATGTATTTAAATATTTGCTTCCTGAAAAGATTTGGTGCTTTATAGTCAGTTTTTTGAGTTACTAGGTCCTCAGAGATTTTGGGGAGTAGATGCAGGAGGAGAGAACGTTATCAGGAAACAACAGACAAGCTCAACAATTTCAGCAGCATCTAAGAGCATGAAATATTAGCTATTATTTTTATGCTGGAAGGAAAATAGGAAACTTAAAAGGAGTAGATTGTAGAATCCATGCCTACAGGTAACTGAGTAAGTGCCCAAGTAAATGAGGCATAGTGAGTGCCTATAAATTCAGAAAAGAGAGATTAACATGGAATTACCGTGAATATGTTTATAGAAAAAAGTAAATTTGAAATAAGACGCCTGAAATGTACTAGCGATCTTAACTACTTTAAACTAGCCATGGTTTTTGCTGTTATGCTCTTAATTTGCAGAACCTGCCTATTCAACCCTTATTACCTTATGGTCACACTAGGTTTTGCTTATGAAGGACATGCTTGCTGTGAAACAAACTTATCTGTTTCCTCTTTTGAACTATGTTATCATTATGTCATTCTCAGTCATCCCATTGCTTGTTGTGTTCCTGAGTCAGAGGGTAACTTTGTTCCTGGCCTCATATTTCACTTTTGATTCTGATATTAGTCACAAGGGGATTCAGAGAACTTGCAAATAAACCCATTCACAAATTCATCACACTTGCTGACAAATTAAACAATGCCCTTCTGTGGGTGGAATGTCATTTGTATGAAAAAAAGAATTGTTAACTGCATCCTTTCAGCCTTACTCCTTCCCCATGCTATGCCTTCTTTGTGACAGTACTTATTACAACATCCAGAAGAGGGTAAATTGGGGTTGGGGATTGAGGGAATGAAAAGAAAATAAAACTCAGTTTTTTGGCTCCCTTGCCTATCAGTTTTAACTGTAGCTATTATAGACGGGGAGATGCAGGCTTTCTGAACACAGTGGCATGTGCACTTGAGTAGGCCTGTGTCCTGCCCAAGATGGAGCTTGGATGTCTGCAGGTGGAAGAAGGCCATTTGGACTTGAGCCATCTTTGATGTCCAAATCACTAAGCAGGGACCATGCAAAGACACAGGAGGGAGGCCATGAGGGCATCAAGCCAGATGAGCTTGCCAGCCTCAGCAACCAGCCAGGGATGGGGGCAGGGCTGCCCAAGTAGGTGGGGCAGGAAGCCCAGCCCTCAACAAAACCCTATTATATTCTTTGTCTTAGTGAGGAAGTTCTTACTGTTGTGTGTATTATTGGAAGACATCTTCTGTGATAGGGTTATTATTGCATGTACAGAGAGATTCCTTGGAACCGCATATGACTCAATCTATCTCACTCAGATTTCTCACCATACCTTCACTTATTTTGCTGCAGTGTCCAGCAGATCTCCTTGAAACAGTGTGTACTGAAGACCTAACTAAATCCTCCAAATTACCTGGTTGGTTCAGAGAACCAAATCACTGGAGCTTTGTAGGGAAGGTTTGACTTTCAGGGCTTTAGCCAGAGTAACTTATTTAATGATTGGCTTTTAATGTGTTTCTGTGCAAAGATCAAAGCAGGTGAATTTTCATGTATTTTTAGAATTCTAGTAGAAAAGGAAGATAGGAAAATCTAGTTCAAGTATACATTCTAGTTTTTAGGGGAATTTGTGTTTTTATTTTACTTTTTTGGTTGCTACGATTTGTCCTATATTCTATATTTATAAGAACATAAATATGTAATTAAAAGAATATATTTGATGGCACTACCTGTCAACAAAGCCACTTATTTGTGAAATTTTTTGGTAACTTGATGGAAATAGTCACATTTTATCCATTGAAAACTACAAAGCTCTTATCTATTGTTCTTTGTGTATATTTATGCATTAAAAATAGATCCTGCAGGATGAGCAGATGTACTGAAGTGTAAATCCGTTTTTTAAGAGAGGCTATATGGAAAAATATATCATTCAAGACTCAGTCTCTGCCTTGCCTATAGGCCTCGTCAGTGTTTAGTGAATGACCTCAACCCTGTTTTTTTCCTTCCTTCTTTGGTGGTTGAGGACAGACAATGAATGGTCTCTGTACTCGCCTGGGCTCAGCTGGGTGGTGGCCATTATGCCATTGTGCTCACTGGAGAGGGCTGCCGGGTTTGTAGAGCTGCGGATCCCGGCCTTCCCTGACATTGCCAATCTCTTTTCTTTCAGCTCCACCAGCCCATTGGAGAAAAGTTACTGTTCAGTCCCTGAAGGCTTGTGCCATAAAAGAGTGGGAGACATTCCCAGGGAGGTGAGGAATGAAAGATCGAATTAAAGACCATTAAAGACCAAAGGGCATCTAAATCTGCAGCAACCATCAGCTCTCTTTTCTTTGAGAGGTAGTAGTCTCTGAAGGTGTTGCTGTAATGTCTATAATTATTTAGATGTTGGCTTTTCAGAAACCCAGGCATTCTTATTAGCTCCTTAAGTTCTCCATGCGTGAAGAAAATAACCAGCTTAAAAAAGCTAATCGGACCTATCTCTAGAAGAGGACCTCTTCTTCCCTTGGGAGCTAACTGATATTAACTGACTAACTGATTGCTTAGCAGGAAAGAATATATATTCTTTCCAGGGAATAGAGATTCAGAGCTCTGTCCTGTTTGCTTTCTAAGCCCTGCTGATTGATATGGTTTTGCAGAATTTTTATTGTTATTTTTAGTTAAGTCTTTAAATGTTTATATGGATATTTAAGAAAAGATCCAATTTCCTTATTTAGTCATGGAGAGTGTTTTTTTGTCCCACATATTAGCAACCGGTCAACATGATTGCTATTGGTCATAGTCAGTTTTCTTGCCTCCACTAGTCTTTCTCCAAACCTAATCATTTATGAAACGTGTGAGAATCGTGAAGTTCGTCTACTGATTCCCAAGTGGAAACTGAGGAACAATTAGGATGCTCAGTATATTCAGAGAGAATCTATACAACTTCAAAATGTGTTAACATGAAACAGGGGTGGGCAAAATAAAAGCCCACAGCCTGTTTTTTGTACTTCAGGAAGCTAAGAATTGTTTTTACATTTTTAAAGGGTTGTTTGGTGTGTGTTTTTTTTTTTTTTAAAGCAAAGAACGTGAAGACTATGCGACAAAGACTGTATGTGGCCCACAAGCCTAAAATATTTATCTCGCCCTTTACTGAAAAAAAATTGCTGGCATAAAGTAATAATACTGGAAAGACCTAGCTAAAAATAATTATAAAGCTCTATGCAAGTTGCTATTCCTTTAAACATGTTTTTCTATGCCTTATTTGACTTTTGAGAGACGAATGTGTAATTCTTCAAGTCAATTATTCAAATTGGTTAATTTGAATATAGGATTTTAGGAATCTTAAAAAGACTTAAAATGTAAAAGGCTATTACAAGTACAAGTACATTTTGGGATTTAGGGAGAGAAAATAATAAAGCCAAGAGTGAGATGAGCACAGTCTACATACAGCCTCAGGACTTTAAACTTGATGGAAGATGGCAGCAAGTTTGATTATAAATGTCCCAGTGGTCAAAACTGTGAGGAAAGCATAATCAAAGCAAAGCAAAATTGCCTACAGAGTTTCTTGCACTCCATCATTAACATAAATTCATCCTTTCATAATGTCCTGGGTCTTAAGAGTCTAGCACCTTAGCTGATGAATTAATATATTTAATTAATGTAGATAGTGGGCACTCTGGGCTTATTCTGAACTGCCTCTGGTTCAGAAGCTGGAACTGGCTTTCTTCAGTCATCTCAAATGATTCTCTTGGCTTCTTTCTTGCATAAGTGCTCAGGATGTACCTGGGTGATCTCTGAGGCCTTCTAACATAGCAGCCCTTCTACCAGATGATTTGTTGGATCAAAGTTACCTCTCCTCAAACTAGTGCTCCCTCCCTCTTCTTTTTTTTTTTGTTTTTGTTTTTGTTTTTGAGACTGAGTCTCACTCTGTCACTCAGGCTGGAGTGCAGTGGCACGATCTCAGCTCACTGCAACCTCCACTTCCTGGGTTCAAGCAATTCTTGTGCCTCAGCCTCCCAAGTAGCTGGGATTACAGATGTGCGCCACCAGACCCAGCTAATTTTTGTATTTTTAGTAGACATGGGGTTTCACCATGTTGGCCAGGCTGGTCTTGAACTCCTGACCTCGGGTGATCCACCCACCTCGGCCTCCCAAAGTGCTGGGATTATAGGCGTGAGCCACAGTGTCTGGCCCCTCCCTCTAAATCACAGCCATTGACATTTGAGCAGCCTGGAGAACATCATCAATTACCCTTGAACTCCTTAAAATGGTAGTCTACTTTATCTCACATGCCTAAACTTCCAGCTTTGCAAAATGGAGCCTCTCTTAGCCATCTGGTGGATTTTCAGAATATTGGTGCTACAACCTTTAATACCACACTGGATTTTCCCAATTATAACTAAAAACAAGATTTTGTCTATAGTAGTGTTTGATCTCAATGGTGTTTATTCCATATTTGAGGCTATCACACTTCCCAGTTTGGAATAATTGATATTTTAGTTGACCTGGTTCTAAATGCCTTATGATGCGTAGAAAGAAGTCTGGATTCAAAACACTTAATTTCCAGAACACATGCAGATGTCTCCTAGACTTTTCTAATTTAATTCCTGTGCTGCTTGTTAATCTATAAAACAAATTTGATTAAGATACACATGCAGTTTGCGTTAATGTCATTATGTGCTGCAGGCTCTCAGAAAATTATTCAGATTTTAGTGATAAAAATATAAAACCTGGGCCGGGCACGGTGGCTCACGCCTGTAATCCCAGCACTTTGGGAGGCCGAGGCGGGCGGATCATGAGGTCAGGAGTTTCGACCAGCCTGGCCAACATAGTGAAACCCCATCTCTACTAAAAATACAAAAATTAGCCAGGCATGGTGCCACGCGCCTGTAATCCCAGCTACTCGGGAGGCTGAGGCAGGAGAATCGCTTGAACCTGGGAGGCGGAGGTTGCAGGGAGCAGAGATCATGCCATTGCACTCCAGCCTGGGTGACAGTGTGAGACTTCGTCTCAAAAAAAAAAAAAAAGGAATATAAAACCTGGTTCTAGTGAATTAGCCACTTAAAGGCTGCACCTTACAGTTTTGCTCTTAAGTACATACTAATTTCTACATAATTTCAAGTATGTTTTATTTCTCTGAGTGGTAAGCCACCTAAGTATTAACTTTTATATTTCTTCAGTGGCCCGGAAAGCACATAGCAGTTAGCTAGGTTTTCAGGTACTTGTTCATGTTTTAAACCTTTAAAACATTAAAATTATAGATTAATGTGAACTTAATTTACACTGCATTTGTTAACTTTTTCAGTTTATATTCGTTGCATGTATGCATAGTATTGAATTTAAGACAAGGAACAGGAACTATGGGCTATGTTTAAGATAAATTTACAGAAGGTTATGTCAGCCCTCTTAGAAATACCCTATTTGAAAGTTTATTATATTCAAAAAGAATGTGAATGATTCTCTTTCAGCTAAATCTTAAAATATAGAAGTGGTTGATTTAGCATCTCAGTTCTTAATATAACCATAGCAAAACATCTGATAGAGATTATAAAACAAGTAAAGTTTGTTTCTTAAGGGTTGGGGAATGTTTTAATTCTACCCTATAGTTAAGTGAAAAGGAAAAATAAGACTGCTTTGGTATCTGATTTCCAAAGTTTCAAAACCTAAGTAGTTGTTTGCTCAGCATTACATTGTGTTAGTGGTTTTGTCTCACAGAAACTTAAATTATCATGCATTTTTGGATATTTTTGTTTAACTTTTTAAAAGTACATTCTGGTGTAGCTCTGAACCTCTGAATAGAAAAAAAAAAAGTCTATTTTAAATAGATTGAAAAAGCTACAGCTGCAGATTAGCCATTACTTTTGGGTATTTCATGCATCGAATCAGCAAATCACAACAGGTGGGTAGAGAGAAAAGGAGTAAATCTCAGCAGAGCAATGCTATTTGCCAGAGGCAGTCTATCTGGTGCCTCAGTAGAGACTCCATGGAGTGTTTTTTTCTCCTGTGAAGAGACAGGGTGGTTAGGCAAGGAGAGTGTGATGTCACATGCTGGCTGAGAAATGCATATTGCAATCAAAATGAAAACAAAGCCCATTTGGGGAACTTAAAGCCCAGGGCACAACTGAGGCTGGAGAGATGTCTTATTCTCCAAGTCCCAAACCTAAGGCAAGACCCAACAGAGGTTTCTGGTCATTTGGAAAGATGTGTTCCCCTCAAGCCTCAGGAAGACCCAGGGTTAATTTAAGTAAGCATTAGCATGAGTTAAGGATTAGTAAATAAAGTAATAACTATAAATTTTTAGTTCATGTTTTGTATATTGTGTGTGTGTGTATATATATATACACACACACACATATATATACACATTATATATACATGTGTATATATACATGTGTATACATACATATATGTGTATATATACATTATATATACACACATATATATGTGTATACATACATATACATATATATGTGTGTATACATTATACATTATACATATACATTATCTGGGACTTGGAGAATAAGACATCTCTCCAGCCTCAGTATATATATCAGTATATATATACTATATATATATATATATATATATATATATACACACACATTAACTACTAAATATTTATATGGTCATTTTCATAGACTTTACTTCCTATAGGGAAATAAGTAATTGAACCATGCAGGATCTTTTGACCCACTTAATCAAACCTAAGTGGATCCCTCCTTTTCAGACCACAAAGTTATAGCCCAGGAACCAACGTCATATAGATAGGTTGCATGAAATCAGGCATGGTCCTGGGAAGAGGCAGTTCCTTGGGAGCTGCCTCACAAACCATAGAATAGCCACAAATATCACACAGCCATACTGATCAGACGTTTGCACTGTGATTCTTCTTTCCTAGTTTCAGCACCCATTTGGACTTTCACAATCAGAGATGGCAGCGGTAAAGGTAAGATTTTTATTTTTTTATTTTTTTTTTGAGCTCGTAAGTAAAAAAGGTAAACTTTAGTCTTTTTTTTTATACTTTAAGTTTTAGGGTACATGCGCACAACGGGCAGGTTAGTTACATATGTATACATGTGCCATGTTGGTGTGCTGCACCCATTAACTCGTCATTTAACATTAGGTATATCTCCTAATGCTATCCCTCCCCCCTCCCCCCACCCCACAACAGTCCCTGGTGTGTGATGTTCCCCTTCCTGTGTCCATGTGTTCTCATTGTTCAATTCCCACCTGTGAGTGAGAACATGCGGAGTTTGGTTTTTTGTCCTTGCGATAGTTTGCTGGTAAATTTTAGTCTTTAAAGTTTGGTATTCTCATTGCACGATGGAGAAGACCTAAGAAATACAAAAGTAAAAGCACTATTGGGTGCATTCCTAGACATCTCTTACCCCAGGCATTTAGGGGTGGCTCAGGCCAGCAAGTTAGTTTAGGGGGCAGAAAGGGAAAAACTAAAGTCTGTCATGCTTGTCAGTCTAGTGTGGTTCTTAGCAGGCCGTTGCTCAGTTGGCAGTAGTCATTTAATTACAGTGGGTAGAGAGGGCTAAGGTGATAAACATCCAGTCTTCTCTCTCCCTGCGTCTCATCTAGAAACGATCACTAGCCTTCATCCCCACATTATAATGCTCCATAGCTTTAATTGGCTGGCTTGTGCATACCTTATGTACATGGACTTAGCAAGTGTGCATACACTTGGTGTCCACTGTGGGCCTGGACCTATCTCACACAATATTTTGGGCCCAGTAGCCTCCTCATGTAGGTAGGTATTTAGCAAATACTAAGTAAATACCTGTTGGGTAGCAGATTAAACATTTGAAGATTTCTCTTGAGGATAATAAACACTTTGGTGTCCACCCTCCACCTCCTTTCATTTTGTAGGCATCAACATCGAAAGCTACCAGGCCTTGGTATTCTCATCCGGTATATGCAAGATACTGGCAACATTATCATCAAGCAATGGCTTGGATGCAAAGCCATCACAATGCCTACAGGAAGGCCGTGGAATCCTGTTTCAATCTTCCATGGTACTTACCTTCTGCGCTTCTTCCCCAAAGCTCTTACGATAATGAGGCTGCGTATCCTCAGTCCTTCTATGACCATCATGTGGCCTGGCAGGACTACCCCTGCAGTTCTTCACATTTCAGAAGATCTGGGCAGCATCCACGTTACAGCAGTAGGATCCAGGCATCCACAAAAGAAGACCAAGCTTTGTCCAAAGAGGAAGAGATGGAGACTGAGTCAGATGCAGAGGTAGAATGTGACCTGAGCAATATGGAAATCACTGAAGAGCTCCGCCAGTACTTTGCAGAGACCGAGAGGCATAGAGAAGAACGACGTAAGTTCAGGCCTCTGTCTCTTCATGCTTCCTTTCCTTGCCCTGCCTTTTACATTTTTTTTCTCTAATATATAAAGTAATTTTATAATTCTTCATTGGCTAGGGTAATATTCCAAATCCAGTCCTAAGCCTGGAAAAGCTATGGGGATGCTGTACCTTGCTTATGTTAGTTTCTGGAGTTGTTTTAGTATAAGACATTTTTTTGTTCCAGAACAAAGCTTATCCTAATAGTAGTTCTACTATTTATTAACCATTAGACACTCTACCAAATGGAGTGTGTATGCATGCATGCTTGTGTGTGTGCGTGCTCTGATCTACACAGCAGTCCCTCAGAGTATTAAACTCATTTTATATATGAGGAAAGTGAACCTTAAAAAGGTTAATTGACTTGTTCCGTGGTACACAACTAGTAATTTGCTGTTAGGATCCAAACCAAATCTGCCTACCTCTACTTCCTGTACTGCTTTCTGTATACTAGGACTTGTCCCTGAGACTGCTAGGTTCCTAAAATACTTTTGCCATTCCTCTGGGACACATCTTGGAGATGTCCTTGGTGCTAGAGGTCCCAAATCTTAAATAGCATGAACCTAAACAGAGTAACGAAATGCCTGGCACTTACAACTTTCCTGTTGGTTCTGCATTGAGGCCCTGTCCATGGGGTCAGAGAATTATGATAAAGGTCTTATATCTTCAGTCAAAAACAGGAATTTTCTTTTTAAATTTCTTACCACCTTACTAGAAAGAACTAGAACAGCTTTTGTGCTCTCCTATTAAAATTCACCAGACCATTTCTAAGTACCTCTAACTGAGATACAAATGCTTCTTTCCCTATTATAACCAGTATTCATTCTCAATTTTGTTTTAAGTGAGGCCTAATTGTATGACATTTTACCTACAATTTTCCAATGACACAGAAGCGTAGAAACCTGGGAATGGGAGTTTCATTCCTGTCTGTCATTGTCAGCATTTTCCTAATGATGAATTAGCTTTTATTGATCCCCACTGGATGCCAAGAACTGAGCACTGGGCTTTGTATAAAATATTATATCCTTTAGTATCTTCGTCCGTGATTCTTCACTAAACTACTTGTTCAGATTTTTTTGACTTCCTTTCTTTTGTTTAAACTGTGTACTTCTTTAAGCATATTAGAAAGTATATCCAGCCAGGTGTGGTGGCTCACACCTGTAGTCCCAGCAACTCGGGAGGATGGCTTGAGCCCAGGAGTTTGAGGCTGCAGTGAGCCACGATCACACCACTGTACTCCAGCCTGGGTGACAGAGCGAGACCCTGGCTCAAAAAAAAAAAAAAAAAGAAAAGAAAAGAAAGAAAAGAAAAAGAAAAGAAAGAAAGAAGTATATCCAAACAAATACTTTTAAGACAGTACTTTCTATTACACACAGAATACTTTTGCTTGATCTCCAGAAATAAATTTTACCCTTTTTAAAAATATAGATACGAAACAACCATTAGTCTAATATATACAACAAATGAGAAGCATTGGAGCATGTCCATGTTTGGGTTGGAATGCTGTTTGTTACAGCTTTTGACAGAGAAAATGGGATGGAGATCGAGTTTATTACTCTTGTCCTTACCAGAAAGTAGAATAACATGTTTTGCCCACTAGAGGTTGATACTTTTATGATGGAAATTGTAATTATGGATGGAAGCAAATCCCAGTCATCTCAAAGGTGACTTTGAATTATCTGCTGGTTTAAAATAAACTTGAGTTAGTCAATAAAAAGTGGATATGAATAAAATAAAGATAAAACAATGAAATGTGTCCTTGCACCAAAGAAAAAATGTGAACGGTTCAGTTACAGATATTGTTAACAACCATCCCTATTCCTCCCTCTTGCCATTGTTAGGTAGAACTCTAGGTAGGTAAACAAAATCATGAAAATTACCTGCTAAGTCATACTTGCCACTTAATATTATTTTGAGTGAATAAATGAAGTCTTTCAGTGTGAATTAGAAGCCTTAAATCAGAGGTTGGCAAATCTTACCCATAGAGTGCTACACTTGCAGTGATTCTGTGGGACATTTTACAGAATGAGCTAGGCCTTGTGTGCATTATAAACTTGATAAGCTTCATCTCTGTGTTTCATATTATTTCCAAATCTGTCTAGTTACTTTACGGCTCCAAATTGCACTTTCATCATCTGGGTTGAATTGTATCTCCCCAAGAAAGATACAGTGGAATCCTAACCCCCAGTTCCTCAGAATGTGACCTTATTTAAAGACAGGGTCTTTCCAGAGGTAATTGAGGTTAAGTGAGGTCATTACAGGGATCCTAATCCTATGTGACTCAGGTCCTTATAAAAAGGGCAAAATCCGGACACAGAGACAGACACACATGCAGTGAAAACACCATGTGAAGATTGACATTATGTCGCCACAATCCAAGGAACATCCAGAAGGTGGGAGAGGCCTGGAACAGATCCTTCCCTAGCACCTTTAGAGGGTTTATGGCCCTGCCAACACCTCGATTGCAGACTTCTGACCTCCAGAGCCATGAGACAATACATTTCTGTTGTTTTAAACCACCCAGTATATGGTACTTTGTTATGGCAGCCCTAGGAAAGGAGTACAATCACCCTGGGAGAATTTTCTTTGTCCCCAAATGCAATCTGTGACTGGGACATAAAGTAAACCCACAGTTCTTGTCATCTGTCTGAAAAAACTGTATTACTTATTTGTTTTACTGTGATCTAGATAGCAAACCATCATAAAAGGGAATTTTATGAAAACCCTTGCAACTTCCATCTTGAACCTCATTTTCCAGTATTCATATTATTGCTGGCAACAGTGTATGGAGGCAGCTGTGGCAGAACTGCTTGAATCACAGAGGTCCAGCCTCACTCTACCACTCGCTGATTAGAGGTTCTCGTCCTCCTGTAAGCCCCCTGCCTTCACCATTCTTTGCCTCAGTTGCCTCACCTATGAAATAGGATCCTAATTAGTGGGTAGTAATTATGAAGAATCCCTAATGGGTAGTAATTGTGAAGAATCCATGAGATAATATGAGAAAAGTTATAGAATGGTGCTTGGTACCAAGTTGGTGCCCAATAAATGTTATTGTTACAGTTAGTTGCTAGTAACCCATCCTTTAACATGGATTATTAACCATAAATTGGTTTTTCTCTGATACCGTTTGCCTTGATTAGTGCTTGATTGAGATTCTGTACATATATATATATATATATATATATATTTTTTTTTTTTTTTTTTTTTTTGAGACAGATTCTTACTCTGTCACCCAGGCTAGAGTACAGTGGCGCCATCTCAGCTCACTACAACCTATGCCTCCCGGGTTCAAGTGATTCTCCTGCCTCGGCCTCCCAAGTAGCTGGGATTTCAGGCGCCAACCACCACACCCAGCTAATTTTTTTATTAGTAGTAGAGATGGTGTTTCACCATGTTGTCCAGAGTGGTCTTGAACTCCTGACCTCAGGTGATCCACCTGCCTCGGCCTCCCAAAGTGCTGGATTATAGGCATGAGCTACCGCGCCCAGCTAAGATTCTGCATATTTTTAATAAGATGTTCTGTGACTTCAGAAAGGTCATATTTCTGCTCTGGGTGGCACCTTTCAAACTTTTAAACTGATTTAGAATATTAAAGACATGAAAGAATGAAAGTTTTGGTGTCTATCAAATTTAGCAATTAACACAGTTTTTAGTTCTGTTTCAAGGATATTCTTGCTTGATAAAATTTAATGCAGTAAAGTACATGGACTGGGAAAATTAACCCACTTCAATATTACTAATAATGTCCCTAAACAAGCTTTCAATTCTTTGTATTTTTAAAATGTGTAGTTACAGCATGATTCAAAACTACTTTTCTTAGCGTCTGTGTCATGCTCCTACAGCCTTCCCTGAATGCATTAGCTGGTCCCAGGGAGATGTGAGAATTGTCTGGTGAGGGTGAGAACAGACTGTGGTGTCAGACTGGAATCTAAAGACTTCGTCTATATTAGAAGCAGCTGCCAGGGCCCGATCTTGCACCAGTAAGAAAATAATGGGCAATAGATCACTAGCATTATTTTTTTCAGCAGCACTTTTGGTGAGTACAGGATGAACAACTGTTCTTCAAGCGGTAATGAATGATGGAATTCATATGTAAGTAATCTGAGTGCCCATGGCGCTTTCCAATTCATTACCTTCACCAGAAATTTTCATGGAGGGTTAGTTACATACACTGTTGGAAAAAGCTTTAATAAAGAGATAAGGGACCTGGGTAGTATGAATAATTGGTTCAAGTTTTTTGTTTCATTTTGCTCTCAAAACCACTAGAAGCTACTTATTCAATAAGGACATTTTCAGCTTTGAACATGAATGCTTTGAAGAACACAGGATTTTAGAAAATGTTACTAGCAAGAGGAAATGTCACTAAATTTGAAAGATTTAACTTTTCAGTATTATTCACTTCCACAGGAACATACAAGTTATGCAATTCATCATCGCCTGAGTCTTGTTTAATATTTTCTTAGGATAAAGGCCTTCAGATTGGACAGTATGTTCTTTTTTGTGATTGCTACTCAGATTCCAGATAGTCTCTACTTTAACATATTTCAAGGATAAAAAACACCAAAAGCTTGACTAGGATAAGAACTCCTTTTGTACAGTGGGAACATGCATGCTTTTGATTATGTCTGTCATCATTTCCTAACAAGATATTTCCGTTACTTAAAGCTTCAATGGAAAATAACTTATGAGAAAGTTTACAGTTATGAAGTTTTAAAGGTCAGCTGTGTTTTCAATTATTTCTTAGGAAAAATGTTTATTATTAGGTTAAGAAAAATACCATTTTGTAGTCATAAGTGACCACTGGTCGAGACTGCAAGGTTATATTGCTAATACTTAGAGGGAAAATGAGTGGAAGTCACCCTCAAAAGAGAGTAAGGCCCTCTGAAACAAACACCACCACTGTTTTCTCGGGTTTGAGCCAATCAGGTATTTATGACCTATGTTTTGAGGGTGTTGGCTCAAAACAGGGACATATTCTAAAAGCTTAAACCCCATTGGGAAGAGGAGACAAAATGAAATGTAAAGTGACACATAGAAGAAGAGTGTCTATGGTGTGGTTCATGGTTATACATGCACATGAGGGGTAGAGCCAGTGACCCAGGCAGTCAAAGGAGGAGCACCGCGGGGCAGCTGTCAAGAAGTAAGGTATGCACTAGGCCAATTTGAGGGATAGGGTCAATTTGGAATGAGAGAAAAAAGGACTTAGTTCACTCCCGGCTTAGACACTCAAAGTGCTGTTCTTACCAGAGAGCCCAGATGTGGTTTTCATATGCCCAGATGTGGTTTTCATACGTTTGAGGGGAGACATCTGCTCCATTACACTGTGTCCATCTGAGTGGGAAGGCTGAGACTGTAGTTTTCATAGTGAGCCTTTAGTCAGTCAAACCTAGAGAGAACCCGGTGAAGTTTATGGCCCAGTATTTAGTGAGCTGTCTTGCTTTAGTCAATGAGGTTGAAGGATGAAATTGCAGTGATTGAGCACAATCCTGACATGCGTGTGTGTTTCATCTGGTGCAGATATTCACAGGTGCACAAAACCGATCAGTGAGATGATACGTGTTAATGGCTGTAGAAAAGTGGAAAGGAACATGAAAATGCACTTCTGTTGTAAAAGTAAAAATGGCGGTTGTCCAGTAACTTCAGGATTACATTTGTCATGGGGCAAGGGATGTGCGACGAAGAGAGAAGACCAGTCTGAAATGGCTCCAGTTCTGCTGGCATGTACCTGTGTTCTGGGTGGTTGCTGACAAGCCAGAAATGAGGCATTCATGGCATACATCAAGTTTGTGCTTTCCCTCGGTTGTGCTACAATTATTCATTTTGGCAAAATAGCAGAAAATATAATCAGAAAGATGTACTAGTCCTAGGAAAGTGAGGGGAAAAAACATTCTTTGCCACTTGCTGCCTCCATGCTTTATCCTCTAACATGTTCTGCCTTTGGGCTCTATGTGTGGAATAATCTTGGATGAAAGTTTTCCTGCTATATAAGATTCTCTGAAGTCCTGGTAACTTTCCATGATTTTTTTTTTCCTTTATGGACTATTACGTGATGTGACATTGGTCACATCATGTAGACAAATAGATTGATGTGAAAAATACCAGGATTATGTATCCTGAACCCAGATGGAATCCAGTAAAGCTTTTCCTTAATAATACATGCCTATTGTTCTTGTTTTAACCTATATGCATATTAACCCTTGTATTAGCCTCCCAGGGCTGCTGTAACAAATTACACAACCTGGGTGGATTAAAAAAAAAAAAAAAACAGATTTATTCTCTCACAGTTCTCAAATCAAGCGGTCAACAGGACCACACGCCCTCTGAAGGCTGTAGGGCCTCACCTCTTCCAACTTCTGGTGTTTCCTGGTGTTCCTTGGCTTGTGGCAGCATCATTCCATCTCTGCCTCCATCTTCATGTGGCCTTTCCCCTGTGTCTGTGTGTCCTTTTCTGTCTCATACAAGGACTTTGTCATTGGAGTTAGGGTCCACCCTAATCCAGTATGATCTCATCTTGATCCTTTAATTACATCTACAAAGCCCTATTTCCAAATAAGGTCACCTTCTGTGGTTCCAGGTGGACATGGATTTGAAGTGACACTATTCAACCCACTACAATCCTATTTTGAAGCTGGAATAGAATCAAAAAAGATTTCTGATTCATATTAAAACAAATTATCTTGCCAAAATACCCTATAAAAGTGTATGGCAACATTGAGTCCTACAGCTGTTTCCAATAAAAATGACCAAACCCTCCATGACAAGGCAACTGTTCATTGGCATCTGAAGTGTGATGTCCGTACTGGTCTGCTTTGGTCAGATGATTTTCCATCTGGCTGGCTGAGCGCTCACCTTGTTTTGACAGCAAGGAAAACTGCCAGTGATTGAGAATCCGTTTTCGTTGGAAGGAAGGAAGGAAGCAATAAATAGAAAACAGAATGAGTGGATGCCTTCAAACTCTGATACTCCATTCTGAGGTTTACTTGGTCCCCTAAGTCAGTACACGCTAAAGTACTTTCACATGCTGGCTGTGACCATCAGTGCACAGCCTGTCTGCAGTTATTTGGTTTTAAACTGACTGGTTTTCAACTTGTAGCCTAGCCTTAGGACTTTTTAAAAAATTGTGTGAGTAAGTAGAGGCAAAGCAATTCGAATGTAAGAGAACAGGGTCCGACCCCAACTCATTGGTGCCCCCCCCCATAGCCCCTCTGCCTGGGAGGCTCTGAGGAACCCACAGGGAAGGGAGTTCTGCCCAGCACCTAGTGAGATTTGAGCATCTGTTTCTCAATCCCCGAGTTGTCATTATTGTTCTTTAACAGCATCTGGAAGGAAAAGAGCTGTTTACAAAAAAATCATGCATGGCCTTTGAGCATTCATTTGACAGTCACTTCCTGAGCATCTGCTTTGTGTCAGGCATTGTGTCCTCTCAGGTCTGGGGGTACAGCTGTGAGTAAAGGTGACAGTGCCCTTCCACCATAAATGACCCCCACAGGGTAGGTCGCAGGTGACAGGCTTCTTGCCCTTTAGTTCAGTGTTTTAGGGCCACTGTTCACTATGCAGGAAACCATTAAACCTCCAAATCTCTTGAGAGGCAAGGAGGGGATAAGGGTTGGGTCTTAAATTTTCATGAGGGGCCAGGCACGGTGGCTTTACGCCTGTAATTCCAGCACTTTGGTAGGCCAAGGCAGGTGGATCGCTTGAGTTCAGGAGTTCAAGACCAGCCTGGGCAACATGGCAAAACCCCATCTCCAAAAAAAAAAAAAATACAAAAATTATCCAGGCGTGGTGGCACACACCTGTAGTCCCAGCTACTCAGGAAACCAAGGTGGGAGGATCGCTTGAGCCCAGGAGGCAGAGGTTGCAGTGAGCCAAGATTGCACCACTGCACTCCAGCCTGAGTGACAGAGCGAAAAAAAAAAAAAAAATTCATGAGGAAGCCTGAATGGGAATGAAAAACAAATAAGAATCAAAAGCAGAGGGCTGTGTCTTTTATTTTTGTATTCTTACACCGTATGAACTTTATTAAGAACTAAAATCATGTGATGGTAACCCATGGGCACACGCTGAGTACAAAGTTGGAAAATTGTACCAGCATCATTAACTGGGGTTGCTTTGTGTTAACATTGTGTATCATTCACAGATGTCAACAATAAGAGAACACATCTCTCTATATATAATTGTTACAAACATTTTAAATTATAAGGAAAAGAAAAAAAAAGATGCAAAAGTTCAAAGACTAAACTCACAACATCCTACCGACAGAGAATACTTAGGATAGCTAAGATCTCAGTGTTCATTCAAACTTCTAAACTCAAAGACTCGGATTTATGCAGGAAGTTGAACATGTCTTGTGTCACCAGATCTGTCAGTGAAGCTGATTATAGTCTTGGGATAAATTTGAGAGTAATGTGACAGTGGTCTGGGAACTCTGACTGTGGGCTCTGCCCTCTGGATGCAGAGACTCCAAGGCACTCAGCAAACCCACCTGTGGGATCGTCTCCTCCAGATAGACCAAAAAAAAAAAAAAAAAAAAAAAAAAAGAGAGCCATAGGATTGGTAATGGGTACAAGGCTGCTCATAGATGGCAGAGGGACTGTGTTGTGCTAATGTGGAAATGCCAAGCCTTCAGAAAAGTAGCCCTTGAATGAGAGATTCTTTAGCCAAATTCTACCTTTCCTGGAAAGCCTGGGCAGTGCCATCAGCCCACCCACTGCCTGCTCAAGGTTCCTAGAAAGAGGCAAGTGGGAAAGGCCTGTATGAACTTAGTGACTGAATATATCTCACCAGTCTGTACTGCCCATACCAAGACCCAGTGTCCTAGGTCACCCCCGCTCTTCCTTCTAAAAGCACGAAGCTAAGCTTTCCTTCAAAGTCAGGTTCAATCATCCCAGGACAGAGGCAGGAGAAAAACAGAGATGCCCCCAGGGAGAAGCTAGTCCCCAGCGGGGCTTTCACCCTGACCTGAGTACCAGGAACACACAGAACTCTTGCGGAAATAAGAAGCTGTCATGGCGGTTGTCGAGTGCTTTCTCTAACCCACTGTTTGGCTCATCCACTCCCACGCCACTCCAACACAACTCAGTTTAGGGGGCATAGAATTTAAACACTTGTGAGAACTGAACAACTTATATGCTGATGTTTCAAACTTGGCAGAAAGACCAAAAATTAGAAACAAATGCTTGGTGGCCCCCATTCATTTGCATATTAGGCCAATATTTTGGTTTCATTCTGCATTGCCCAATGAGTTAATCATACATTTTTTCCATGGGTGAGGTAGCAGTTACGCAGCTTTTATTGTGTTTGATAGTCATTGGGCTTATTCATATAAGCCCTTAGGTAAAAATAAACTGTGGATGTTCCAAGACAGCAATGGCCACATACATTTTTAATAATGTTTCCAAGTTTATAAAACTCCTTCCCTCCAATGCCATGATGATGCTTATAAAGAGCAGGATTTATGCGAGCGACTATGCATGGCCTTATAAATATCTTTCCATTCACACTTGATTAGCTCACTACCATGTTCTGTTCCATGTATTAGTACAGGGAGGACCAACAATGGAAGAATGATTTATATGATTCTTTTATTTCCCTACAACCATCTTCACTCCTTATCTCGTGGTGTTTCTCTTGATAGCCATAGTAGCCGTGGATATGTGTTCCCTGCTGTCAATTTCTCTCTTGACAGAGTCGCTTACAAGAGCTATGGAAATTGGCTAAATTTAACCTTATGCAGCATTGTCTTACTGATACTTTTATGTTGTTGCAGTTTACATAAGAATAAAAATTATGATATTGGGACTTGCCATAGTAAAAAACAGAGGGAAGAGTAAATTGAATAGATACTTCTTGCTTTACAAGAATCCATTTAAATTAGTAGGATTAAAAGTATGTAATGATACCACTTGCAGTTTAACCTAGGCCAACCTATGAAGTGGAAAGTCAAATCCCGTAGTGAGAAAACCAACCCATTATTGCAGATTTTTTGATATAGCGGGAAGATTAGAAGTCAGAGGCCTTAATTCCATTTGTAGAATTGCCCTTTCCTCACCCTTCTTCCTTCAGCAAGTGTTGACTCATTTAACTTTTCCTTGCTTGGTATGATTTGCATTTCGAATCTGTGGAAGGATAATCAATCATCCATCATCATTGCATACTGTGCTTGCTAGCACTTGTTCTTTTCCAGGTTACCTAAAATCAATACCTCTTCCAAAGGAGTGATTTTTTCCCCCCACATCACCTCATTCATGGTGGTAAGCACTGCTCGCAACACTGGACTTTCCAGGAAGCTTTTTGTTTCCCTGCTGGCCTGGGGCAGTGTTTGAAACCAAGCAAGCTCTATCAGCCATTCCTAGCTGGGCAGGTGGTGAGTGGGCCGTGCAGATGAAAAGAGAGAACCTCAGGTGGGTTCATTTCTTTCCTGTGTTTTCAGGGCTTGTTGCAGAGGTTTGGTAGTTTGGAGTGATGAGTTTCCTTGTGGCTCTTCACCATTTCTTTTTCTTTTTTTTTTGACACCGGGTCTGGCTTTGTCACCTGGGCTGGAGTATAGTGGTACACTGCAATCTCTGCCCCCTGGGCTCAAGCCATCCTCCCACCTCAGCCTCGCAAGTAGGTGGGACTATAGGCACTCAACTCTTTGCCATTTCTCTCAGTGTATAATAACCCCTTGGTAGGTGAATGATGATAATAATCTGCAGGTCTTGCCTCAAAATCTGGTAAGCATCTCATCTGGAACACTTGGGCCTGGTTTCACAGTTGGAAAGGGAAAGATGAGGGACCTTAGGGGGCTGCAGATGGCATGGCCAGCAGCAGCAGCACTCACTGGGCTCCTTCTGCAGTGCACACACGTGTGTTTATGTTCATGTTCACGTTCGTGTTTGTTCTCAGGGCGGCAGCAGCAGCTGGATGCAGAGCGCCTGGACAGCTATGTGAACGCTGACCACGACCTGTACTGCAACACCCGCCGGTCGGTAGAAGCCCCAACTGAGAGGCCTGGTGAGCGGCGCCAGGCCGAGATGAAGCGTTTGTACGGGGACAGTGCTGCCAAGATCCAAGCCATGGAGGCCGCGGTGCAGCTGAGCTTTGACAAGCACTGTGACCGAAAGCAGCCCAAGTACTGGCCGGTCATCCCCCTGAAGTTCTGAGCTCAGGGCACAGGGTACCCAGCCTCTCCTTCTTCCTTTTGGGTACACGCTCTTTATCTCTCCTTCTGTACATTTCTTAGGGAAAGGGGACTTTGTACTGGGGTACAGGCATGTTCACCACAGTCCCAGTGGGCCTGTCACGGGGTGGATGTACTATGCCAGCCACTTGGAGGTCTGCAGGACATGTTCTGTTGCCAACATGATAAATTTTCTCCTGACATAAAATAATTTTGCATATACTATACTGGTTTTTTATGTTGTTGGTAACAGTTCAATTCATTAACGTTCTTGCCTAGAGATACTGCCTGGTGTTTTGCTTTTTTATCTTTTCTTGTCTTTAACCTGTCTGAACTACACAAATGCCTTTAAAAAACCAGATATCCTCTCTGACTCTAGCTCCATTAGCCCCCACTAAAAATGAGCCAAGTGTGTAGTGAGACAAATACCACTACCTGTAGTGGAGAGGGATGCATGTTCTATAAAGGGCCAGAGAGTGAATATCTTTGGCACTGCAAGCCACACGGTCAGTGTTGTGACTACTCAACCCTCCCTTTGTAGTGTGAAAGCAGCTGTAGACAGTAAGTAAACAAATGGGTGTGGCTGTGTTCTAATAAAACTTTATTTATAAAAACAGGCGGCCGGGCGCAATGGTTCATGCCTGTAATCCCAGCACTTTGGGAGGCCGAGGTGGGCAGATCACGAGGTCAGGAGATGGAGACCATCCTGGCCAACATGATGAAACCCGTCGCTACTAAAATACAAAAAATGAGCCGGGCATGGTGGTGTGTGCCTGTAATCCCAGCTACGTGGGAGACTGAGGCAGGGGAATTGCTTGAACCCAGGAGGCAGAGGTTGCAGTGAGCTGAGATCGCGCCACTGCACTCCAACCTAGAGAAAGAGCAAGACTCCGTCTCAAAACAAAAACAAAAACAGACTGCAGGCCAGATTTGGTCTACAGATGGTAGTTTGCCAACTGCACCTCTCATGGAATGAAAATCACCTGCCTGACATTTTTATTCTTGTTATCTCATTATGTCTACAGAGCTTAGATGTCATACAGAATTGAGAGCAAAGAACAATAATTCCGGCCCGGCGCGGTGGCTCATGCCTGTAATCCCAGCACTTTGGGAGGCTGAGGTGGGCAGATCACGAGATCAGGAGATCGAGACCATCCTGGCTAACACGGTGAAACCCCATCTCTACTAAAAATACAAAAAATTAGCCGGGCGTGGTGGCGGGCACCTGTAGTCCCAGCTACTTGGGAGGCTGAGGCAGGAGAATGGCGTGAACCCAGGAGGCGGAGCTTGCAGTGAGCCGAGCTCCAGCCTGGGCAACAGAGTGAGACTCCATCTCAAAAGAAAAAAAAAAAAGAACAATAATTCCCAAACCTGGTCACTGCTGCAGTCACCTCTGTTGCAGAAAACGCACAGTTGATTTCTTACTATATACAGCAAATATTGATTTGATAAAGGAATACATTTCTGAAAATGAAATCTAAAAGCTGATGGAGCAGGTCATTTATAAAAGCCAGCTGCCTTTTAAATAAGTTATTACAGTACATTGCCAGGGTGAGCCCATGTTGACCTGAGAAGATTAGCACATCCATCAAAGGCTGGTGAAAAGATTTAGTATTGACATGTTTCTCTCTAAGAACAGTTGGCTTCACATTCAGCCCCTGCCCTGAGACAAATGCATTATTTTCATCAGCCCTGGGTGCTTATTTTTCTAAGCTCTCATTTTATTACTGGAGTCACAATTTGTGTGTAGGTGTTGCCGACAAAAATGATAATTAACTTTCCCTTGAGGTGACACATAACTAAAATTTCAAATCTTTAGTATTTCTCCCTTTCATTTTAAATTCATATGCCTAACTATAAAATAACTGTGACTGAGATACAAGTACAAACCAAAGCCTGGAATTGCAGCAGGTGCTGAGGCATTTGAAAGTGAAATGTTTCTCTTCGCAAAGGACTCTTATACCCTCCCCTAAAGAAATCACCATGCCGGTCTCACCCCTACTGGCTTTGTTACCTAAGGCTTCACCTCTCAGTGCTTCTGGTTCCTTCCTTATCCTTAAAATGAGTGTTAATAATTCTCTCGTGGGGTCATTGTGCGGACCACATTGAGTAGTGCCTGTAAAACAGTGCTGGCTACACGGTAAATACTCAATAAATGTTGACACGTTTATTACCTGTCTTTAAAAATCACTGGGAAGTGCCAGTGGGAGTCTTGAGTATAAAATTTCTAAATACGGAGAAATGTTTCCCTGTCAGCTCTCCGAATGGATGCGCTGGCTTCTGGACACCTCATGCCAGCCCATCCTTCCTCCTGCTTGTCTCAGATAATTTGTGATACAAGGCACACGTGACTCGTTTGTTTGTTTATCCAACAAATATTTGAATTTCTTCCATCACAGTTAGTTAAACCATAGTCTCTTCCCTCAGGATTTTTTTTCTCCCTTTTTTTCTTCTAAATCCTACTTTTGCTTCTGTCTGTTGGTGACAGTCTGATGGCTATTCTCCCTGTGTCCCTGTGTATGTGAGAGTAGATGGGCATGCAGAGCTTATTAGATGTCTCTAGCTCAGGCCGGGAGCGGTGGCTCACACCTGTAATCCCAGCACTTTAGGAGGCCAAGGTGGGCGGATCGCCTGAAGTCAGGAGTTCGAGACCAGCCTGGCCAACATGGTGAAGCCCTGTCTTTACTAAAAATACAAAAATAAGCCAGGTGTGGTGGTGCACACCTATAGTCCCAGCTACTCGGGAGGCTGAGGCAGGAGAATTGCTTGAACCCAGGAGGCAGAGGTTGCAGTGAGCCGAGATTGCGCCATTGCACTCCAGCCTGGATGACAGAGTGAAAAAAAAAAAAAAAGTGTCCCTAGCTCTTTGGCCAGTCACAGAAGAATCTGTGGATGTCTTCACTGATAGGATCACATGGCCTTTTAACAAGGCCACCTTTGCCACCGAGGGGAACATGTGTTGGAGGCACCAATATCTGATGGAAAAAACAAACTTCTTTTTTCTCTACTCGCACTCAATACAACAGAGAGCACTTCTGACACCAGATGTCAGGGGGCTTTTCCCTACACATCAAGCAATTTCTCCAGGGGCCACCAACTGGGTGTCCTATAATTCATTTCTGACACTATCTATCTGGAGGTAGCATCAGATCCCACAAGTTAAAGGCCCAGTACCACAGGATTGCCCCCGACTTCAGATGCCAATCACAAGTAGTAGGTTGTCACGTATACTTCTGACTGAACAGCTATCAATTAGGGTTCCCACGACCTCCTCTTTGGGTTCAATTAATTTCCTAGGAAGGCTCACAGAACTCAGGCTCACACTTCTTGAGTTTACCTGCTTACTAAAGGATAGTACAAAAGATACAGATGAACAGTGAAGAGATGCATTGGGCAAGGTATGTGGAAAGGGGTGCAGAGTTTCTTTGTCTCTCTGAGCACGCAGCCCTTCAGGAACCTCCACATGTTCAGCAATCCAGAGGCTCTCCAAACCCAGTTCTTCTGGGGTTTTTATGAAGGCTTCATTACATAGTCATGATTGATTAAATCATTGGCCATTAGTGACCAACTCAACCATCAGCCCATCTCCCTTCCCTGGAGGTTAGGGGGTGGGCCTGAAAATTCCAACCTTCTAATCATGTGGTTGGTTCCCCTGGCAGCTGGCCCCATCCCGAAGCTGTCCAAGAGCCCACCAAGAGTCACCTCATTAGAACAAAAGACTCCCATCACCCAGGAAATTCCAAAGCATTTAGGAGCTCTGTGTCAGGAACCAGGGTCAAAGACCAAGTATTACAACAAAAGACTTTCCTAGTGCCTCTATCTACAAGAGTTTCAGGGGGTCTATGTCAGAGACCAAATATATATATTTTTTATTATCTCACAATATCACACAATGGGGGGCAGGCAGACCACTTACAAGCCTATTGCAGAAAAGGTGTTCAACCTCACTGGTAACCAGAGAACCACTAATTACAATAAGAGTGATATTCCATACCCTTCAGATAGGCAAATGTCTAAAAAGAATAAAAATGCTGGCCAGTCACGGTGGCTCATATCTGTAATCCCAGCACTTTGGGAGGCCAAGGCGGTTGGATTGCTTGAGGCCAGGAGTTCGAGACCAGCCTGGCCAATATGGTGAAACCCCGTCTCTACTAAAAATACAGGAAAAAAATTAGCCAGACATGGTGCCATGCACCTGTAGTCCCAGCTACTTGGGAGGCTGAAGCAGGAGAATCACTTGAACCCAGGAGGCAGAGGTTTCAGTGAGCTGAGGCCGTGTCAGCCTGGGCAACAGAGCGAGATGCTGTCTCACAAAAGAAAAAGAATAAAAATGCCAAGTGTGGCAAGGACGTAGAGAGATGAGAACTCACATTGCTATGGGAGTATAGGTTGGTCCACCCTATTGAAGGGCACGGTGGCATTTTTCTTGCAAAGTTAAAACAGGCACATATGACCCAGCAATCCTACTCTCAGGTATATGCCCAAGAGACACTCTTCCATGTGGGCACAAGGAGGTGCACAAGAGAGTGGGCACTGCCACATAATAATAGCAAACAATTGGAAACAAATTAAGTGCCCATCTACAGGATGTGGGTAAGTAAACTGTGGAGTGTTCAATGATGGCATACTACAGGAGCCCTTAAGAGAAATGAGCTAGACTACATGTATGAAAATGCTAGTGTCGAGGTGAAAAAGGAAGTTGTGTAGGTATAGCATGATAACATTTAGCCATAACTTTAAAAAATACACACCATGCACGCATATATGTACTAAAATCTAGAAACATGCATGGAAAAGATTCACACACATACACCCCAACTTCAGAATAGTGGTTAGTTCTGAGTAGGGAGAGGTTGAGACACCACTCAAAGGGGGTTTTTCTATCTGTCTAATGTTTAATTTCTTTAGAACAGAAAAGCAATGGTAATAACCCAGCTTTGATGGAGGCCCCTAAGTTTATCAAACTCTATTCTAACAAAGTAGTTTATCTTTCACTTCATTTCTAGGGTTAAATGTTACAGGAAATGTTTACTTTATCAAACACTTAAATAGAGCTTACTATAAGCCTCACCCTCTTCTAATTGCTTTACAAATACTAATTTCTTTAGCAATCTATCTATGACAAACCTATGAGGTAGCTATTACAGGTACAAAACCTGTTTTCCAAAACCCTTAGATCATGTATGTTTCAGAATGTAGGCATTTTTGTACTTTTGAAAAGTAAAACAGCATATTCTAGAACTTGGCCCAGTGGGCTAGGGTAGCCTGCCACCAAGATAGCTGGACTATAAAATGGAAGAATATTCTAAGTATGATAAATACAGACCATAAATATCCTCAGTTCCATCCAGGTCAGGTTTTGTCATCAAATCATTAAGGTCAAGTCAGGTTGTGCTGCCAAACAAATTTTAAAACAAGAAAAACCCTTCCAGTTTTCAGACCTTTGGGAATTTCAGAAATGTGTTGAAGGAATATTATTGTCATTTTGCAGATGAGGAGACTGAAGCACAGAGAAATTAACCAACATCACCACATTCACTTCAAGTGATGGATGTGAGCTTCAAACACAGATATTCTGACTCCTAACTTCCCTGCCGTTAGCTGCTCCAGCATGCTGAAATCTGGTTCTAACAACCACATTCACAGGAAGTGGAAGGTACATGTCTTCAAAGCACAGGAGCTGAGCTGAATCTGGAGCTGAGCATGAGGTTACGGTCTAGTCCCTGCTGGGCTTGAGAACGTGTGACTCTGGATAATGCATTTGCATTCTTTAACTGAATTTTATAACTGAGGCTAAGGCAGTGAGAAGAGGGGACACATTCCAGAGACACCGAAGAAATAGACATCCCATGGCTTGGTGACTTGGGCCAGGTGATGAACCAGCCTAGGATGGCTCAGGTGTGTGTCTTGGATGGAAGTTGTAGTCACTGAGGTAAAGCGAACAATGAGAAACAGGTTTGAGAGGGACAATCAATTCCATTTGGGACACAGTGAATTTGAGGAGTTCAAAAAACATCCAGTGACATCCTACCACTCACTGGCTATTTGGGTTTGGAACTCAATAGAGAGGACCTGCATTAAAAATACAGATGTTGGCCGGGCGTGGTGGCTCATGCCTGTAATCCCAGCGCTTTGGGAGGTCGAGGTGAGTGGATCACCTGAGGTCAGGAGTTCGAGACCAGCCTGGCCAACATGGTAAAACTGTCTGTACTAATAATACAAAAATTAGCTGGGCATGGTGGTGCACACCTGTAATCCCAGCTACTCCCGAAGCTGAGGCAGGAGAATGGCTTGTACCAGAGAGGCGGAGTTTGCAGTGAGCGGAGGTTGCAGTGAGCCGAGATTGCACCATTGCACTCCAGCCTGGGCGACAAGAGCGAAACTCCATCTCAAATAAATAAATAACTAAATAAAATAAAAATATAGATGTTTCAGCCCTCGGCCTTAGGAATGTGGAAAAAGGGACAGTATGTAAACTAAGAGGAATTGACCTGTGACAGTGGGGCCCTGAAGAACTCTATTTATCTATCTATCTATCTATCTATCTATCTATCTATCTATCTATCACCTATCTATCTATCTCTACCCATCTTATCTGTATATCTATCATCTATATTTGCAACCGAAATCTAATCAAGACTCTATGTCTAATTACCAGTCACAGGAAGTTCAGGGAGAAGACCAGTATATTAAAAGACACTGAAGATGTCATCAGCCAAATCCAGAATGTGAGAAATTTCATAGGATGGAAGACCCAGTTTCTTTAACAAACTTTTTTTTTTTTTTTTTTTTTTTTTTGCTGGAGTGCAGTGGTGTGATCTTGGCTCACTCACTGCAACCTTCGCCTCCTGGGTTCAAAGGTTTCTCCCACCTCAACCTCCAGAGTAGCTGGGATTAGAGGTGCCTACCACCACGCCCGGCTTTTTTGTATGTTTAGTACAGACGGGGTTTCACCATGTTGGCCAGGCTGGTCTCTAACTCCTGACCTCAGGTGATCCGCCCACCTCGGCCTCCCAAAGTGCTGGGATTACAGGCGTGAGCCACCAAGCCAGGCCACAAATGGACTTTTAAGAAGCACATGTTGGGGCCGGGCATGGTGGCTCACACCTGTAATCCCAACACTCTGGGAGGCCGAGGCGAGCAGATCACAAGGTCAAGAGATGGAGACTATCCTGGCCAACGTGGTGAAACCACAAAAAATACAAAAATTAGCGGGGTGTGGTGGTGCACACCTGTAGTCCCAGCTACTTGGGAGGCTGAGGTGAGAGGATCACTTGAACCCAGGAGGTGGAGGTTGCAGTGAGCCCAGATTGCGCCACTGCACTCTAGCCTGGCGACAGAGTGAGACTCTGTCTCAGGGGAAAAAAAGCGCATGTTGGAGAAAGAGTGATGGCGAGGGCGAGGAGGTGTTATGGGATATGGTGTGGAACTTGTATGTGTCCTAACTTGGACAAATTGATTATTAAAACACTTTTAGATCATTGAAGAAATTTGAGTATGGACCGAGTGTTAGACGATATTAAAGACTTATTAACTTTGTTAGGTATAATAATTGTTTTATGGTTATGGGTTTTTTGTTTCTTTGTTCGTTTAGTTTTTATCTGTTAAAGACACTGAACTATTTCAAGTTGAGCTGATATGATACCTGGGGTTTTCTTTAAAGTGCTCCAGTGACAGGGCATGGGAGAGGCAACAGTTGAAATCAGATCAGCAAAATGTTGAGAATTACTGAAGCCGAGTGATGGACACGTGGAGATGCAGTATGCTATTCTCTCTAGTTTTGTTTTTGTTTGAAAATTTCGTAGTAAATTTTTCAAATGAAATAGAATTTGAAGGAAAGAGCTTTACAGTACTAAATGTTACGGAGAGGTCTGATAAGCTGAAGACAGAAAAGTAGACAATCTAGAAACCATTGTCATCTGAAGGACCTTAAAGCAATTTCAGTGGATAGATGGGGAAGAAAACCAAGTTTTACATCAAAGCTAATATACTCAAAACAAAATAAAAGGACGGCGGCATGTCAAAGGGGCACAGAAGCCACTCCCAGAAGAGCTCCCAGTGGCCAAACTGGACAGCCTGAGCAACAAAATAAATAATATGGTGTTAGATTGTAACCCAAAGTATAACATAAAAATACTTGAGTCTATACTGATAAATGATTGACTAATAAATAAATATATGGAGAGAAGAGACAAATCTTCCTTACAGAATAATTCCAAATAATAGCTATAGATACTAGCCCCTCCAAGATGTGGGACTCACCCCTCCATCTCCATCTTTTTTAAATTTTTTTTTTTTCAAGATGGAGTCTTGCTCTGTCACCCAGGCTGGAGTGCAGTGGCACGATCTGGGCTCACTGCAAGGTCCGCCTCCCGGGTTCACGCCATTCTCCTGCCTCAGCCTCCCAAGAAGCTGGGAGTACAGGCGCCCGCCACCACGCCTGGCTAATTTTTTTGTGTTTTTAGTAGAGACGGGGTTTCACTGTGTTAGCCAGGATGGTCTCGATCTCCTAACCTTGTGATCCACTCGCCTCAGCCTCCCAAAGTGCTGGGATTACAAGCGTGAGCCACTGCGCCCGGCCTAAATTTCTTTTTTAGAGACAGGGTCTTGCTCTGTTGCCCAGGCTGGAGTACAGTGGTGTGATCTTGGCTCACTGGAGTCTCAACCTCCTGGGCTCAACCAATTCTCCCACCTCAACACTTCCAAGTAGCTGGGACTGTAGGCATGAGCCACCATGCCCAGCTAATTTTTTTTTAAGAGATGGGGCCTCACTATATTGCCCAGGTGGATCTCAAACTCCTGGGCTCAAGCAATCCTCCTGCCTCAGCCTCTCAAAGTGCTGGGATTACACGTGTGAGCCACCATGCCTCACTCTCTCTCCCCCATTTGAGTGTGGGCTAGACTAGTGACTCACTTCCAAACAACAAAGTACAGAAAGGGGAAAATAACAGCTTTTGGAAGAACCTGGCAGATACCATATTATCCATGTGATCAAGGTCAACATCACCAGTCGTAAGTTCTGCTGATGTTGTGGACAACCTGATATGATATGATGAGAAGGGAGCTTTACCTCTGTGGGATTCTCAAAACCCATAACCCCAATTTAAACATGAGAAAAATATCAGATAAGCCCAAATTGAGGGGCATTTGACAAAATACCTGACCAGTATGAGTCAAAATCCTCAAGGTCACAAAAGGCAAAGAAAGACTGAGAAACTGTCACAGAGGAGACTAAGGGGACATGACAACTAAATGCAATGTGGGATCTTGGAGCAGAAAAAGGATATTAGTGGAAAATCTGGTAAAATCTAGATACAGCCGGCCGGGCGCAGTGGCTCACGCCTGTAATCCCAGCACTTTGGGAGGCTGAGGCGGGCGGATTACCTGAGGTCAAGAGTTCAAGATCAGCCTGGGCAACACGGTGAAACCCCATCTCTACTAAAAATACAAAATTAGCCGGGCGTGGTGACACATGCCTGTAATCCCAGCTACTCAGGAGGCTGAGGCAGGAGAATCACTTGAATCTGGGAGGCAGAGGATGCAGTTAGCCGAGATCACACCATTGCACTCCAGCCTGGGCAACAAAAGTAAATCTCTGTCTCACCAAAAAAAAAAAAAAAAAAATCTACATACAGCCCGTAGCTTTATTTAACAGGAATATGCCAATGTAAATTTCTTGGTTTTGACACATGTACCATAGTTATGTATAATGTTAACAATGAGGGTAACTGAGTAAGGGTGTATAGGAACTCTGCACTGTCTGTATAACTTTTCTATTTGAAAATAATTCCAAAATAAGAAGGCTTTAAAAAAAAACAAAAATTTAATATCGATTTTTGCAAGTTGTGTTTATATCAGTTATACTTGTTCCACTTTTCAAAGGGAGGAGATATATTTTTATCTGTCTAAAAAAAGACTTTACAAAGCCTTTTTTCTTCTTTTGAGTGCTATAGAATCTGACAGTGACACCAGAATGACAAGTCAGAAGGGAAAGTGAAGGATTCAGCCTTTACAAGGTATGTAATATGTGTTATAGTGCTAGACAACTTACACACATTACCTGCCTTGTATTCTCCTAACCACCTTATAAAGCATAAGCCCCAATTTTCTGATGAACAAGTTGGTTCAAAGTAAGTATAAGAAGCCAAGTGCAGTGGCTCATGCCTGTAATCCTAACACTTTGGGAGGTCGAGGCAAGTGGATCTCTTGCGCCCAGGAGTTTGAGACCAGCCTGGGCAACATAGTGAGGTCCCCTGTATTAGTCTGTTTTCACACTGCTATAAGGACATACCTGAGACTGGGTAACTTATTTTTTTAAAAAAAATATGTTTAATTGACTCACAGTTTCGCATGGCTGGGGAGGCCTCGGGAAATTTACAATCATGGCGGAAGGCAAAGGGGAAGCAAGCATGTCTTTACCATGGTGGAGCAGGAGAGAGAGAGCACGAAGGGTGAAGTGATACTTTTAAACCATCAGATCTCGTGAGAACTCAATTCACTATCACAAGACCAGCAAGGAGGAAACTGCCCCCATGAGCCAGTCACCTCCCACCAGGTCCCTCCCTTGACGTGGGGATTGCAATTTGAGATGAAATTCGGGTGGGGACACAAAGCCAAACCATATCACCCCCTCTCTATAAAAAAAATTTAAAAATTAGCCAGGTGTGGTTGCATGTACTTATAGTCCTAGCTATGTGGGGGACTGAGGTGGGAGAATCACCCGAGCTTGAGAAGTCAAGCTGCAGAGAGCCGTGATTGCCCCACTGCACTCCAGTCAGAATGACAGTGCAAGACTCTATCTCAAAAAAAAAAAAAAAAGCAAAAATGGTAAGAATAAGTAACATACCTAGGGTCACATTAGCTGAAGTGTGGATTTTCCTTCATAGAGGTTAAATTTTCTCCTAATTTTAAAAATACGTCGTGACTATTAATTTATTCTTGCCTCCGGGATTTTTAAGATACATCACTTCTATGATTTTTTTTTTTTTTTTTTTTTTGAGACAGAGTCTTGTTCTGTCGCCCAGGCTGGAGTGCAGTGGCATGATCTCGGCTCACTGCAACCCCTGCCTCCTAGGTTCAAGCAATTCTCATGCCTCAAGCCTCCCGAGTAGCTTGGATTGCATGCATGCATCACCACACCTGGCTAATAATTTTTGTATTTTTAGTAGAGACGGCGTTTTGCCATGTTGGCCAGGCTGGTCTCGAACTCCCGACCTCAGGTGATCCGCCCGCCTCAGCCTCCCAAAGTGCTGGGATTACAGGCATGAGCCGCTGCACCCGGCCTCTATGATTCTTTTGATCAGAAAAATTGCCCCTTGTGTAAGTTAGCTTTTGTTACATAACAACTCGTCCCCAAACTTAGTGACTTAACCATTTTTTATGTGGGTTGGCAACTTAGGCTGGGCTCAGCTAGGTGGGTCTTCTGCCAGTCTCCCCTGGGCTCACTCTTATAGATGCAGTCAGCTGATGGGTCAGCCAGGGGCTGGTTAGTCTAGGATGGCCTCAATCACATATCTGGGGTTTGGAGCTGGCTGTCTTATGGTTATCTGCTAAAGTAATAGGAGCAACTGGGCCACATGTCTCCAGCAAGCTAGCCTGAGTTTGTTCCCATGGTAGTTATAACAAGGGTCCCAAAAGCAACAAAAGAGGACAAGCCAGCCGGGCACGGTGGCTCATGTCTGTAATCCCAGCACTTTGGGAGGCCAAGGTGGGCAGATCACGAGTTCAGGAGATTGAGACCATCCTGGCCAACACAGTGAAACCCCATCTCTACTAAAAATGCAAAAATTAGCTGGGCGTGGTGACGCACACCTGTAGTCCTAGCTACTCCAGAGGCTGAGGCAGAAGAATCGCTTGAACCCGGGAGGTGGAGGTTGCAGTGAGCTGAGCCGAGATATCGCCACTACACTCCAGCCTGGCAACAGAGAGAGACTCTGTCTCAAAAAAAAAAAAAAAAAAAAAAGACAAGCCACAGCATGCAAGCGTTTTATAAGCCTCTGCTTTCTTCATATTTTCTGATGTCCCATTGCCCAAAGCAGATCACATGGCCAAGCCCAGATTCGAGGGGTGAAAAAATAGGCTCCACCTCTTGATGGGAAGAGCTTTGAGTCACATTGCAAGAGGATGTGCATACAGGGATGGGAGAAATTATTGCAGCCTTTTTTGCAAGTAATCTACTGCACCCCTTTTGTGTTCCTTTTCACATGATAGCTTATAGAATTTTACTGCTTAGAGTATAGGATTAAGATTCTATTTCTTTGCCAAGCTCCTATGTAACTATGGATATTGATATGGTTTGGCTGTACCCTCACCCAACTCTCATCTTGAATTCCCATGTGTTGCGGGAGGGACCCAGTGAGAGGTCATTTAATCATGGGGTCAGGTCTCTCCCATGCTGTTCTCATGATAGTGAATAAGTCTCACAAATCTGCTGCCATGTGAGACAGGCCTTTCACCTTCTGCCATGATTGCAAGGCCTCTCCAGCCACGTGGAACTGTAGGTCCATTAAATCTCTTTCTTTTGTAAATTGCTCAGTCTTGGGTATGTCTCTATCAGCATTATGAAAACGAACTAATACAGATATACAATTAGCCCTTGTCTTATGACTTTGAGAATCACAGAGTTGGAAGGAGATTTAATGGCTAGTCAATTCAATATTATACTTAATAGAGGACCATCTTGTGGACACAGAAGCACAAGATCGCATCCATGTGGTAGGCCTTCAAATCCTTAAAAATAGTAGGTTCTATGATTTCTCTTTTCCATTTTAAATATTCCAAATGTCGTAATGTCCCCATTTTATATAATGGACATACAAGACAAGCATTGCAGATTTACCAGATATGCTGATCTTCAGACTGCTCTTCCTCATTGCCAGCTAGATTTGACTGAGCTTCACATTAGCTTCAAACAGAGTGGGAAGTTAGAAAATGACAGGGTAGGCATGGATGTTGACCTACGTGGGTCCTTGAGATGGTGTGATAGGCCCCCCAGTGTGTCCAGCGTTCCACAATGTGGAACCTGTGAATACATTCCTTTGCATCGCAAAAGATTTTGCAAATGTGACCAAGTTAAGGAGCTTGCCATGGAGAGAGCATCCTGTATCCTCCAAGTGGGCCCAATGTCATCACAAGGGTCCTTATAAGAGGGAGGGAGGTGGGTCAGAGTCAAAGAAGGAATGTGAGAAGCAGAGGTTGGAGTAATGAAAGGAAGGGGCTATATATCAAGGAATGCTGGCAGTCTCTAGAAACCAGAAAAATCAAGAAAACGGATTCTCCCCTAGAACTTCCAGAAGACATGCAGCCCTGCCAACACCTTGATTTTAGCCCAGTAAGACCCCTTTCAGATTTCTGCCCTCCAGAACTATAAAAGGACATATCTGTGTGCTTTAAGTCACTGAGTTTATGGTAATTTGTCACAGCAGTAACAGGAAACCAATAGAGATGGGAAATGTGTGATTGGTTAGTGATGAGTGTAATAATACGAGCTTGCTGTGCACTGAACACTTTACATATGCTACCTTATTTCATCCCAGCACAACACTGGGAGTCAATTTCTCATTTCCCAGATACAGAAATGAACTTAGATTAAGTAACTTGTCCAA
The DNA here is from genome assembly GCF_000001405.40 of Homo sapiens. Lineage (NCBI taxonomy): Eukaryota > Metazoa > Chordata > Mammalia > Primates > Hominidae > Homo > Homo sapiens. Next base: position 13,995,291 of record NC_000023.11, on the reverse strand, counting down.
AGCCAGCAAGCTAGAAAGCGTCATTGAGGGGTGAAGATTGAACCCAGGTTTCAAGTCTTTCTGAGCCCTTGCCTCTGTGCTATACTTTACCATCCTGATAGGGAGTTGAGCCCCTGGCTTGGGAGATTGGGGGTAATGTCGCCATTGAGTGAGCTAACAAATTCAAGAAGAGAAAAGGAGAAGAGGAGGTTTTCCTATAATTGCAGGTGACAGAACCAGCATGGTCCAGTGGGCACTTAAGTGCACTGTCGCCTTCCCTACTTTTGATGTTTTGGGACTCTGACTGATCCACCACTGGCTTCCTTGTTCCTCAGCTTGCAGACAGCCTGTTGTGGGACTTCACCTTGTGATTGTGTGAGTCAATTCTTCGTAATAAACTCCCTTTCATATAGACACCTATCCTATTAGTCCTGTCCCTCTAGAGAACCCTGACTAATACATGCAGAAATCGTGTGGTTTGTAGTATTTCTTAATTTTTATTTTCTGGTCAAAGAACAGTTGTTCTATAGAATGGTATTCATATATGCTGACCACAAATACTCCATGGGACAGTTTGAGGAACAGTTTTTCATGGAATGAGGCCTCATTTTAACAAGAGTACAATGTAAGGGTCACATTTGGCCACAAGTGCCATAGCAGCCACCCATGAGGTTTCAATAAAATGTGAATTCTCTCCAATGCTACTGGAACTGTTCTTTCACCACAAACATATTTTAAGCATCCATCCACCATTTTCTGGGTCACTGCAAAGATATAAAAGAGATCAGAAATGGATATTACACCAAACATTATGTAGTAAAAAATTTTTAAAGTAACAAAACTGAGTAACAAATGTGACAAAGGTAGTAGAGACTTTGGTTAGTGAGGACAGTGCAGCTCAGATGCAGCAGGAACTGAGGGGAGGAGAAGCTCGGGGGCCAATGTGTGTGGGAGTTGAGTCTGGGCTCAGCTTCCCGGAATGAATAGAGTTGGCAACATGGAGATGGCACAAACAAGCACTCCAGGAAGAGAGAACAGTGCAAGGCAGAAAATACGGCTGTGTGTTGGAAACAGAATGGAGATCCGTCTGCCAGCTTGCGAGGTTCTCAGACCTGGCTGCATGTTAGAGTCACTTGGATCCCACCCTAGACCAATTAAAGCAGAATCGCTGGTCATCGGGGCCCAGCCATTGCTGGTTTTGGTTTTGTTTTTTAAAGCTTCCCTGGTGATTCCTGTACAGCCAGAGTTGCACCCACTAGGCTAAGTTGGCTGTTCTCAACTATGGTGTGGGGACCTACTGATGTTTAATTTGAGGTATGACAGGTACTACTTCTCAAACTTTAGTATGTGTTAGAATATCCTGGGGAGCTCATTAAAACACAGATTCCTGGGCCCTGCTGTCAGAGATTCTCATTCAGTAGGTCTGGGGTGGGGTCCAAGAACATGTATTTCTGTCAAGCTCCCAGGTGATGCTCTGGTCTATAGACTGCACATTGAGTAGCACAGATGTAAATAATTTGATATAATGATAAAAGAACAGTGAAGGAAAGTTTACAAATGGTTTGCTTTCTTAAACTATATACATCCAGGCCAGGCATGGTGGCTCACACCTGTAATCCTAGTAGTTTGAGAGGCTTGAAGTGGGAGGATTGCTAGAGGCCAGGAGTTCCAGACCAGCCTGGGCAACATGATGAGACCTCATCTCTATAAAAAAAATTTTTTTTGTTTAATTAGCCAGGCATGGTGGTGCATGCCTGTAGTCCCAGCTGCTCAAGAGGCTGATGTGGAAGGATCACTTGAGCCCAGGAGGTCATACCACTTCACTCCAACAGAATGAGATCCTGTCTCTTTAAAAAAAAAAAAAAAAAAAAGTATACACAACAAAAGCAGATTAAAGCATTTGACTGGGAGACAATGTGGTGGCCTTAAGGTGACTGTGCCAGTGTTTGCAAATATCTCACAGCTCAACACCCCCTATATCCTGTGCATCATGATGGGGAGACAGTCATGAAGCCCTGGGCTAGAACAATTAGTTCATGAAGCAGAGTGATGACATAGAAGCATGGAGAAGAGCCAGTTCATGAAGGGTCCTCCCTGCTAAACCATGGATGCTGTGAGCAACCACAAGGTCTTTACAAAGGTTAGGAATGAACAAAGCCATTTCTCAAGACAAATATGTTTATAGTATCTGTTCAAAGGCGATGACAGTAATGCGAATTGATGGGGCCTAACCTGGAGAAGTGGCAGTGGAACTGGAGAGAGAAGATAGATGTAAGAGATGGTGCAGAAATGGCAACTCCACCCTTCAAGGTGCTCAAGCAACTCCTTTTTCATGCCTCCAACCAACCTATCAGAAAGCCTGCTGGATCTCCCCACTTCTCCCATCCCACCACCTCCTCCTAGTCCAAAGCATCACCATCTCTCACCTGGATTAGTTCCATAGCTTCCTAACTGCCTTTGCCCTCCTACAATCTATTCTAAAACATAAGCCAGATCGTCACTTTTCTGCTCCTGTGTCACTTGCAATATGAGCTCAAGCCCTTACAGTGGCCTACAAGCATGGCACGATCTGGACCCCTATTATCTTTCTGTCATCGGTTCCTTCTACTCACCCATTTCTCTCATTCTGCTCCAGCCCCATTGACTTCCTAACTTTTTCTAGGACCTTGCTTCTCAAAATGTGGCCCCTAGACCAGTAACATCAGCATCAATTGGGAGCTCAATAGAAATGCAGAGTCTCAGGTCCCTCTCCGGCCCCACTGAATGAGAGTCTGCATTTCATCAAGACCCTCAGGGGATTCCTCTACCCCTCTATGTGAGGAGCACTGATCCAGAACAGCCCAGAACACTCCCACCCCTGGATTTTGACATTTCTCTACCTATACAGCTTGCCTGCTGGGTATCCATGTAAATCACTCCCTGCATCCTTTTCTTAAATGTCACTTTCTCAATATTCTACTTAAAACTGCAATGCCTCCACAGCAGGGCACTCCTTAACCCCTCTGATGCCTTTATTTCTCCCACAGCATTTGTCACCACCTGAAAATGGTGGCCTCTGAGAGTCAGAATAAGGTGTGGAGAGGTGAGGCACAGGACTACTACTTTTTTAAGTCTTAAGTTTGTGAAGGATTATTTGACATTTACGTTGTATACATGTATATCTTTCACTTGTTTATTGGTAGAGATTAAAAACTGCCAGAGAATAAAGTCTGAGTTCCCATCAGGCTTCATGAATGAGGATGTTGAGTTCAGCCTCAGCTTCATGGCCAGTAGACGAGTACTGTGGGCAAGAAATAAATCTTTGCTGTTTCAAGCCACTGACATTTTGGAGTCATTTTCACAGCCAACTTCAAGCTTCTCTTCATTGCCGCAGGAAGAGACAATTGAAATGGAAGAACATGGTTTTTGAAAGAGTCAATAGGGATTAGGCTCAGTAAACAGTCACAACAGAGCCACCTCCTTTCCTTGGAGGTTATAACTCAAATTTATAGGATGTCACCTCTTGCTGAAAGGCTGCAAGTAGTCCACAGATGTGGTTTATCTGGTTAGGATAGTATTTGCTTAAATGTTTAAACGGGAGATGGGAAAAGTGTGTGTGTGCGTGTATGTCATTTATTCTCCTCTTAGCTATAGTCCCCACTACTCCCTATTACTTAGGACAGCCTCAATTGACTCATTTACTTGCCTGAATAGCCCTGAAGACATTTGGATTTGTAACACTGGCCTGTCCACGCATCAAACCCATTGAGAGGAGGTAGAACAGGCATTAGCATACTCACCTAATAGACAAGAAGACAGAGGCCCTGAAAGTCCACGAGGCTTCAAAAATGACACAAGTCAATGGCAGAGCTGGGGCCCCAACTCAGGACTTCTGATGCCTCTGTTCAGGACAAGCTAAGGATGTCCCCCCTCAGAGACAGCTGCCATCTGCTGCTGCAGTCATCCTAGGAGGTTAATGCATTGATTGTATGCTCTATTGTCTAATCAGCCCACACACTGCTTGAGTTTATCACCAAGCAAATTCTCATTTGTTTTTAACAGGAAAATCACTCCATCCCAAAATGCCTTAAACCAAACTCTGCAATCTCAACAAACAGCTTGCCTTTTAAATCCATAAGCTAAACACAAGGCTCTTTGCATTCTTTCAGCCAAGCCATTGCAGCTCTTTTCTCTTTCAGTCTGAACTTGTTTGTAATAAGTACAGCCAAGAAAAGGAGTTAAAGAAATGACTCCAACAGAGAATCTCCAAGGTATATTTTTAAGTGCAAAAAGCAAAGTGCAGGCCAGGCGCAGTGGCTCACACCTGTAATCTCAGCACTTTGGTGGGCCAAGGTGGAAGGATTACTTGAGCCCAGGAGTTTGAGACCAGCCTGGGCAACATAGTGAGACCACGTCTCTACAAAAGATAATAAATTAGCTAGCCATGGTGGCACATGCCTGTAGACCTAGCTACTTAGGAAGCTGAGGCAGGAGGATGGCTTAAGGCCAGGAGGTTGAGGCTACAGTGAGCCATGATGACGCCACTGCACTCCAGCTCTGGACTCCAGAGACCCTGTCTCAACAAAAACAAAAAAGCAAAGTGCAGAAGAGTATACATGGAATTAGCCCATTTGGATAAATGGAAAAAATACATCTCTTTACATATATGCATTTATACTTATGTATGCAAAAGTGTCTCCAAGGATGCACATGATACATTATGGCCATGCCTGGAGAGCAGCCTGGGGGTCAGGAGTGAAGGAGGCAGGCACTGTGGGTGACCCATGCACTCAAGCCCTGCCAACTCCAACCATTCTCTTCTGTGACTCTGCCTGAAGGTAAAAGTGCTGAGAAGCCACACACCCTGGGGCAGCCATCAATCAGTGATTGGCAGGAATTCGTAGAGAAATATACCAACTCCTTCACCTCTTGGGTGGGATGATTCTGAGGTACATGCTGTACATCTGTTCCCAGAGTTCCCCAGCATGACTCAGCTGCAGTTGCCCCCAGAGCAGATGCGCTCAACAACACAGCCTTTTCTGGCTGCCTTTGTTTTCTGTCTCCCTTTCCCACACCCTTACTCTTCCAAATGAATTTCAAGTCCTATCTCAGGACTGGTTTCTGGAGGAATAATGCTGTCCAATAGAAATTTCTTCAATGATGGAAATGTTCAATGTCTGCACTGTCCAATACAGTAACAACTAGCCACATGTGGCATTTAAATTTAACTTAATTAAAATGAATAAAATTTAAAATGCAATTCCCTGGTCACATAGCCACATTTCAGGTGCCCAACAGCCACATGGACAGCACATAATAGTCCATTTTCATGATCGCACATGGCTCTATTGGACAGTACTGGTTTGCAGTGCATTGGAGCAAATGAGTGTAGACTTGTACCACATGTGTCAAGAAGCAAGAAGATGTTTTCAAAGGGGAAAAGGATATAATATACTTCTATGAGTGTCTCTGAAATCTGTGTGTGGGATCTATGTGTGAAGCCTGACTCTCACTCAAGTACTCCTCTAAATCTATTACCTAAACCTTAACCCTTTCTGTTCTCAGCTAAGGCGCAGGCTGTTTCAAACCCCTATGGCATCTTTGTGCAAATAAGACCAAGGCGCCTCTCTTCCCAGAGGAAGCAATCCCATGTCAGTGCACACTGGATCTGAGCAGTGCCACCAAACAGGGCCCACCTAACAACGCTGTACAAATCTGGCCTAAGGGCCAGGATTTGAAATTTAGAAGGCAGGAAGAGTTTCTTCATTGCTCTGTGTTCTGCATCTCAATACTTCTTTTAGCAATGAGTGCAGACAGAATGACAGGGCTTGAGTTTGTGAGTTGGCAGGAAGGCCAAAGGATAAAGGAAATACCAAGAACAACAATTTTTTTAAAAACACTAATAATACTACAAGTCAAAAACATGGTCTTTGCTGGGCACAGTGGCTCACGCCTGTAATGTCAACACTTTGGAAGACTGAGGCAGGAGGATAGCTTGAGGCCAGGAATTTTAGACCAACCTGGGCAACATGGCAAGACTTCATCTCTACCAAAAAAAAAAAAATTTAAATTTAAAAATTAGCCAGGGTTGGTGGCATGCACCTGTAGTCCCAGCTACTCAGGAGGCTGAGGCGGGAGCATCCATTTAACCCAGAAGTTTGAGGCTGCAGTGAGCCCTGATTGTGCCATTGCATTCCAGCCTGGGCAACAGAGAAAGACCCTCTCTCAAAAAATTAATTAAAAAGAGAAGAGTTTTGCTCCTCATAGGTAAGCTTTAACTCTCAACCTGCTCTTACTCAAACTATAACAATTTGCATTAATTCAAGTTCTATAACCCAGTTCTACCATTTTTCCAAAGTATAACAATTTGCATTAATTCAAGTTCTATAACCCAGTTCTACCATTTTTCTGTTGGGCACCGTAGCACTCACTGCAGAAAATCCCTTCCATCTTGAACATTTTCCAACTTTGACCCTTTCTTTCCATTCCCTTTCCGTGAAACAGGCGTGACTTCTTAATCCTGTATTGACATGGAATGATACTCTAGTCATCTTGGCTTGATCTAGTGTGCCTCATTGTCCTGATCAGAAAAATCAGAAACTTTGGGGGACCTGAAACATCATCTCTCTGGACTTGTTGCAAAGGTTAGTGTTCAATCTGTTGACTTATTTAATAGCTCCCTTTCCTGCTCCTAGGAGAGGTTCTTTATCTTTTTAGTTTGTGACAAGTTTGACCACTTGCTAAGTGTCAGGTGTTGGGGATACAAGGGCAAGCTTCTGCCCTCAAGGAGCTGCAGTCTACCTGGTGGTACAGATGAGTGTGATGAGAAAATATTCTGCCCTGTAACCCTGCCCCTGCTCAGTTGTTTATTAACTGAGAGAAGGGATGAGATCTGGAAACGGTGAAAATACGATTCACCTCTGGGCTTTTGAGTTCCGAAAGCCTCATGCTCAGGAGAGACAGATAGAACTCATATGTGGAAATACCATCAATATTGAAGAATATAAAACAATACTTTGCCACCTTCTTCCAGCCACTCCTCCCCACCAGATGACTCCCTGTGGGAGGGAGGTTGTCAGAGGGGCAGTTGTACGTGCGCAAGTATGCTTTTGGTCCTAGAATTGCTACGCCCGCATCCCACCCCCAGAAGATTCTAGGGTAAGGAGAGGACAGAAAGAATCTGTGGCAGACACTATTGGCTGTCCTTAACCCTAATAGTATTCAGACAGTGGGTGACAATGTACTGAGCCCCAGGGAATGAATCATGATTGCTCTAAACCAGCCATTGTAATCCAGTGACCCAGTCCTGCCCAATGACTTGTGAAGGGAAAGGGTATTGTAAAGATTTTTCCTTCTTGAAAGAAAGTGAAATACCATTTCTTGCTGCTTTGGATGGTCAGGAGAGAACACGGTGCTTGGCATCACAGCAAGTATGTTATAACTAAGGGGGAAGCCAAGAGATTGGCTGAGAAAGCTTAATAGAGCTGACTACCTGAATTAGCCTGTCTACTTCCAACCTTCTTGCTATATAAAATGATTCAATCCATACTTTTAAGCCATTTGACTTGCAAGCAAAAGCCTTCTACAACATGGGCCTATGGTCTCTGGAAGAGGGGTCTCACATAGCCATGCATGAGTGTGCCAGGGTGTTCCCCATACATTAGAGGTTGGCAGAAGAGGACAGTGTCTTAGGGAGCTCCACAGAAGTTCCTGTGACCCAGCGCAGTGAGAACACATCTGTTTATTCCCATGTCCCCCAGTGGAAACTGGAGAGCTGAGAGAAAGCCTGGCCAGATAGGCCCTTGACAATGGGATGAGGAACAGAAGTCATGGGGAAGGGTGACAAAGAGCCAAGCAAGAAGAGGACACCTCAGGTGATGCAGAAGTGAACAGAGGACCCAAAGCCCAGATCCCTACCTCCACCACCCCCAACTCCAAACTTAGACCCAATGCCACAGAAAAGGGAAGAGTCATGATTCTAGTAAATTTACATTTCCTCACTCTGCTGAATGATGGGTTGAAATAGAAATTAACATCAAATGCAGAAAAATAAGGTTTTATTTCTGCACCTTAGAGCTTGAAGGCCAAGATTTGAACCCACTACCCAAGTCAACAGGCCATTACACCATCATGGGAAAAGGGACTTGAGAGCACTCAAGTGGGGTGCCTGTCAAAGACTGAGGAAGGGGCTCCCTGGAGTGAGTGCAGTAGAATGCCTAGAACACAAGTAGATTAGGAGTAAGGACACAGGGTAGCCAATGACAACCACATATTCCCATCCTGATTTCAAAAAGAAATAACATTTTAACATTAAAAAGTCCATAAGACATAAAGGCAAGATAAAGGCAGAATGAAGGACAGTTCCTTAAATAAAACTATTAAAAAATCTGTACTTTGCACAAATTTGTTTACATTTCAATAGAGCCTAGTGAATACTTTCTTGTTGGTTGGCAACAGTCCTTAGAACCAGCATTTGGGAACAACATATGGAAGGTACATCCCAGTGAACAATTTCTGGCCCATTGTGGTCATCCCCCAATATCTAAGTCCCTTCTTCCATAGTAGTAGAAACCTTGGTTTTCAGCCAGGGACATGTAAAGACTACATTTCTCAGCCCCTGTTGCTGCTAGGTGTGGCCATGTGGCTATGTTCTGACCAATGAGGTGTGAGCAAAAGAGCCCTGTGGCTGCTGCCAGGCACCTCCTTTAAAAGACAGCTGGTGCATGCCCATTCCACAGTTTTCTTCTTCATCCTTTCTCCTCCTGCTGCCCAGAATTCTGACATAGTGGCTGACCTTCATTCTCCACCATAGATGGAAGGTAACACCCTGGAGATGGTAGAGCATTGAGACGAGAAGAGTGTGGGTCATTGAAGACTTCATGAAACACAGCAGCCACACACCAGCTCTGGACTGCCCCACCCTGACTTTGACATTAGAGAAGTAAACTTCATTTTCTTGAGCTACTGTGATTTGAAATCTTTGTTACCTACAGCTGGGGCTAATCCTTTCTGATACACATGGCCACCAGCCATACTATGAGAAAGCCCCAGGTCAAGAGTGAGGATCTGGGCTATTCAAGATGTAAGACAGGCATGGCAAATCTCACCCATCATTGACTCCCAGCTCACATCCTCTGTCCACCTGAACCACATTTATAACATGCTTAGTCCAACTTTTCCATTTCCTTAGTCAATTTTCTTTCTACTTTCTGTTAGGGCCATTTCATAAGATGTTTCAAGTTTGTTGTTGTTGTTGTTTGTTTGTTTGTTTTTTAGCACAGTAGAAATAGCAGTAGTTACTAAATAGAAACAACACAAATAGCAGAGAATCTCATATGTATGAATGTCATTATGCATGAAGTAAAAAAGAAACTTGATAAGAATCAAGTTTCGAAAAAGAAACCATAAAAGGCATTACTGTTCACTCATATATGGCTTCCTTCCACTTTCTCTGGGGGTAAATGGCACTCCCTGTGCAAGTCTCTTTTTATGGTAGACATGCATATCTGTTATTTCTGTTTTAGGATATAGTGTGTCTCTCTAGGTCACAAAAGGCCATTGTTGATCAAGTTATGAAGAGAAGAGTATTAATACCTCATGAGCATTTTTCAGTACACAGCACTTTTCTGTCATCTTTCCAGAAAAAGAGTTGTGTGTACTAATTGGAAAAGTAGGTTTCCAATACAACATTCAATACTCTGTACTCAGTCTTGTTTCGTATAAGGAAACTATAGTGAGCAAATATAGCCACAATACATCCATCCCACAAATTGGGCACTGGTTGAGTTTTTCACAGTAATTTGTTAGGTTATATTAAGAACGTAAGGAAGTCAGTACATAAAAATAATAATCATCTGTGGAGTTTAAGAGCCTAACAAATTGCAGCCCTCTTTTCTGCCCAAGTTCAGGACCAATTGAGAAGTCCAACCAGTGGAGAAGGAAATAATCAACTTTGTTACTAATAAGATGATTAAGGAGCATGGCTTTAAATCCAGCTCCAAATGGACTTCCTAATGCAGTCCCATTGACTTGAACTTAACTATGGGCTCCCCTGTTTCTGGGGGCAGTGCTTACCCCATAAGCTTCTTTCATAGTGGAGAGCAAACCAGAATGGACCCTTTAAGTGGGCAGGCAAATTTGGAAGAGAAATAACCCAAAAAATCCTGAGCCAAGCATGTTCATTTCCTTCTACCAAATTCACTAATTAGAGGTGTCACACCTTTTTCTCTGGTGAGAGGTTGTTACAGAGGTGAGGCAATGGAGAGAAGTTAGACTTGTCCTCAGGTCCTTTTCCTCCTGTAGCAGACCCTGTCCCTGCCCCACCACTATCCACCAGCTTTAATTTTGCCAATTAAAGCTGCCTGTCACCATCTTTTTGCCCGAAGGCCTTCTTCAAAGCCGTGGAAGCAGCATTCCTCAACCAATGACTGACCCAAGTTGGTAAATAAATACCCCAACTCCCTTGCCCTAGTGGCTATAGAACTCTGAGGTGCATGTTCTATACTGTTTCCCAGAGCTTTCTGGCAAAACTAAGCCCCAGACACACACAATGATAGCCAGCTCAATAATGCACCCTTCCTTGGCTTCCTTCCTTTACCTGTCTCATCTTCCCACTTGCCTAGTGTGTCCTGGAATCACCACTCAAGTATTTACTGAGAGTAAATCCTTGCTCTCAAGTACTTACTGAGAGTAAATCCTTGCTCTCAAGTACTTATCTCAAGGTCTTCTTTTAGATCAGGGATCAGCAGATTTTTTCTAGAAAGAGCCAGATATTAATGTTTTAGGCATTGCAACTGCACAACTCTAGCATTGCAATGTGAAAGCAGTCATAGACAATATGTAAAGAAATGGGCATGGACTGTGTTCCAACAAAACTGTATTTACAAAATCAGGTGGTAGGCTGGATTTGGTATCTGAGCCAGGCCATAGTGTGCTGACCCTTATTCTAGAGGAATTTGAGATAAATCATTCCCTGAATTTGTATTTTTATAGCTGTGTAACAAATTATCACAAACTTGGCAGCTTAAAACAACACAAATTTATTATCTCACAGTTTCCATGGGTCAGGAGTCCAAGCACTATATAACTGGGTTCTATGTTCAGGGTCTCACAAGGTTGAAATAAAGCTTCCAGCTGAGCCACGTTCTCATCTAAGGCTCAGAGTCGTCTTGTAACTTCACACAGTTCTTGGCAGAATTTAGCTCCTTGCAGTTGTAGGACTCAGATCCCAGTCTTCTTGCTAGCTGTCAGCCAGGGACCATTTTCAGCTCCTAAAGGCCACCATTCCCTGACACACAGCTCTCTCTGCAACATTACAATTTGCTTTTTTTTTTCTTTTGAAAAAGATTTATAGACAAAAAAGGGAAGTGAGGCACAGAAATCGGAAGTGAGGTACAGAAACAACTGGTTTGGTTACAAGTTGTTGTTTGCCTTATTTGAACACAGTTTGAACACTCAGCAGTGTATGAATGGTTGAAGTACGGCTGCTGGGATTGGCCGAGACTCAGCTATTGTTACAGGCACATACTCCTAAGTTAGGTTTTCAGTCTTGTCTACATATTAAGTTAGGTTGCAGTTTGTCCACAAGGACTCAAATATAGAATTATGGAGTCCTTCTCAGGCCACATTTAGTTTGCTTTAACAATTCCCTCTTTTTGGTCATTTTCTCAATTTTGAAAGATTGACCAAAACTTTATTTTATTTTTATTTTTATTTATTTATTTATTTATTTATTTTTGAGACAGAGTCTGGCTCTTGTTGCCCAGGCTGTAGTGCAATGGTGCGATCTTGGCTCACTGCAACCTCAGCCTCCCGGGCTCAAGCGATTCTCCTGTCTCAGCCTCCCGAGTAGCTGGGATTACAGGCATGAGCCACCACGCCCGGCTAATTTTTGTATTTTTAGTAGAGACGGGGTTTCACCATGTTGGCCAGGCTGGTCTCGAACTCCTGACCTCGTGATCCACCCGCCTCGGCCTCCCAAAGTGCTGGGATTACAGGCGTGAGCCACCGCACCCAGCCTGACCAAAACTTTAGTCACTGATGTCACTGTTACCATCGTAACTGTACTTATTTGGTCTTGAAACCCACTGGGAAACAGTAGAACAGTGAGTTTTGCAAAGGTAGGAACAAGGACTGAGTAGAAGTCACCCCCTCATGCTAGAACATACTGTTTAGAGGAGAAAAACAAAACCTGGTCTGTTCCAGGATCTATGTGTTTCCTTAAAGTATTAGTTTGGTTATGTCACATTTAGCATGAGCAGCTCCATTTTGATTGGGTTTTGTGCGTTGGGGTATAGTGCATGAGCTCAGTCCAAAACAGTGGCCTCCCATAATGCTGTTTTTTAAAAAATTCCCCCTTTTTGGTCAGGTTCTAGCTTAGGTGAGAATGTGACAAAACTTACGGCCTTAGTGCCACTCTCAGTTACCATCATTTTGGGTTTCTGGTCTCAGCATGACATTCATGGGTTACGATGACCTCATGATCATACATTTCTTTCAGCCATTGTCATTCCAGTTGAAGAGAGGCCATTTGGCATTCTAGAGGTGGCTGTATGTAAACATTTAAAAACTTGGAGAGAATTTGGCACACCAGGGAGACTATTATTATTACTATCAGGAGGATAGAGTTTGGAGTATGCTCCCAAAGAATGAGCTAGGTAAAGAGTCTATTCACTTTACTAAGCAATCTCATTAATCCCCTGCAACTGAATCTCTATAATACCTGATGTTTTCTCCATAGGGCATAAGTGCCAGCAGCTGCACAGATACTTCTCTGTTTAGCCAATTCTATTATTTAGCATAACTTTCACAAAAGAATTTAAAGTCTGTTGTGTAACCATAGCCTTTACAGTAGAATCTCCTATAGAGCCTATCACGAGGGATACATTTCTAATCATTGCCTCTTTTATTCCAAACCATGGAAAAAGGACCTAACAAATGATGCCCTTCTAGAAGAGTGAAGGCTTCCTGGCATTTTTTTTAAACCCATGATGTGGGTTAAGAGGAGTGAATCAGTGTTCTGTATTTCACTGATTATGAGGCAACGTATGTACCATTAAAGTTTCTCACCTACACTGGGCTTTCATCTTTTATCTATCAAAGTATAAGTTTATCAATGTATAAGGCTGGCCACAAAATCCTTCACAAATAAAAGTATACCCCATAAGTGCACATAAGAGACCCCCTTTTCATTTCTGTTGTTCATAGAGGCATAAACAAGGAAAAATATTCAAAGATAACAGTCTCATGATAGTAGAGAAGTCTTGCTCCATGAACTTGGGAAAAGCTGTTCACATCAAGAATGTCATCTTCTTCTGGGGGGAAGCTTCCCTGGTTAGGTTTACCTTAAGGTTCCAATGGGTGTACAGTTCCAAGAGTGTGGAGGGACCGTTCTCAGTTTCTTTAAAACCAGCAAGAGAATTATTTTAAAGAATTCGCTTGATTAGTTCAGGCCCTCCCAGGATTATCTCTCTTTTGACGGACTCAAAGTCAACTGATTAGGAACTGTAATTACATCTTTAAAATATTTTCACCTTTGAGTTATAATGTAACCTAGTCACAGAGCTAGTCTGCAGTGAGGTAAGAGTTAAACCCAGAATCCTGACTCCATAGCTCATGCCATTAACCACCTTTTCATACTGCCTTGCCTCTGAGATTTTACATACAATTCCCCACATACCCAACACAAGCCATCTAAATCAGACACTATTATGCTGCATAGCTTTCTTAATATTTAAAATTTGGCCAAGCAATCCTTCAGCCTTTTTAAAAAAGTCAAGCAATATTTGCACAAATTGGGCTTTGGGCAAACCTTTCCTAAAGCTAGAATTAATCAACTATGCCAGATATAAATGAAAACTCAAGACTCAAGTTGGAAGAAATGATATAATCAACATTGCCTTCATTATTGTTTGCTTTCTCAGACGAAACAATACTGTGAAAGTCAATTTTAAAAAGGGAAGAGGAAGGAACCAAGTATTAATAGAGCATTGCATTCATTATTTCATTTGAGTCTGACATCACCCCTGGAAAGCCTATTATTGTTGCAGATGAAACTAAGCTTAAAGAGTAGAAAAACGCTTCAAATTGTCGCATAATGTCTAATCTCCCCTTCTTCATGAGTAACAGAAGGCTGGATTTATTCAGGGTAACAATGTCACCAGCTAAAAGACTACATTTCCCAGCCTCCCTTGTGGCTAGGTGAGATTATGTGACAAGTATTTGGCTAATAAGAGCTAAGTAAAAGTGTGTGGGCCCTCTGGGAGGTTGCTTAAAGAAAGCGAAATCAATCAAGACTTGACTTTTTTGTCCTTTCTTCCTTATACCTTCCTGCTATTTGGAACTCTGGCATTATGGCTAGAGCTCCAGCTGTCACCTTGAATCCTGAGGCAACCTTGAGATGGGAGCAATCTGCTAAGACATGGAGCAGGAAGGTACGAGGAGTTTATATCCCTGATGATCATGGAGCTAGAGCCATCATACCAACCCTGGGGTTCCCAGCTTTGGAATGATTGTTTTGCAAGACAGGAAAAAAAACATTTACCACTTTTAAAACCCTGTTATTTAGAGTTTGTCTTACACAGAGCTTAATAACTGATGGAGATGACCTAAATAACCTTCCCTAGGTCACCCCTTAGTAAGAAGATGCATAATGCAAACCTTACTCTCTCAGACTACTGTATGCTTGGGGCTAATCATCTATATGTTTTGTTTGGAAAGTGGGGATGTTACGTTGGTTGGGAGATGAAGATAACCTTATCTGACCTCATGGACTTCAGTCAAGTTACTATTTCTTTTATGTATGTATGTATGTATTTATTTATTTATTGAGACGGAGTTTCGCTCTTGTCGCCTAGGCTGGAGTGCAATGACGTGATCTCGGCTCACTGCAACCTCCACCTCCTGGGTTCAAGCAATTCTTCTGTCTCAGCCTCCTGAGTAGCTGGCATTACAGGCGCCTGCCACCATGCCTGGCTAATTTTTGTATTTTTAGTAGAGACGGGGTTTCACCATGTTGGCCAGGCTGGTCTCGAACTCCTAACCTCAGGTGATCCGCCCGCCTCAGCCTCCCAAAGTGCTGGGATTACAGGCGTGAGCCACCATGCCCGGCATTAAGTCTCTATTTCTTAGATTCTCTTTTGAATCCAGCTTCCAGCCTCTGCAAAGTTCCTTTTATTATTGCTGACAAAGATAATATGAGTCCATACAATTTATAACTACCTTCCACAGTTGGACCTTAGTCCTCTACAATTAGAACCATGTTTAGAGTATAATTTAACCTGTTTTTACGTTGTTATAATAAATCTAACACATGCACATTGAAAAAATGAGAACCAGGTCAGGTGTGGTGGCTCACGCCTGTAATCACAGCATTTTGGGAGGCCAAGGTGGGCAGATGACTTGAGCCCAGGAGTTTGAGACCAGCCTGGGCAACATGGCAAAACCCTGTCTCTGCCAAAAAAAAAACAACAACAAAAAAGAAATCAGCTGGGTGTGGTGGCACGTGCCTGTAGTCTCCGCTACTCTAAAGGGTGAGGTGGGAGGATCACCTGAGCCCAGGAGGTTAAGCCTGGGTGACAGAGTGAGACCCTGTCAAAAAAAAGAAAGAAGAAAGAGAAAGAAAGAAAGAAAAAGAAAGAAAGAAAGAAGAGAGAGAGAGAGACAAAGAAAGAAAGAAGAAAGAAAGAAAGAAAGAAAGAAAGAAAGAAAGAAAGAAAGAAAGAAAGAGAAAAAGAAAGAGAGGGAGAAAGAAAGAAAGCAGGAAAAAAAGAAAGAAAGAGAAAGAAAGAAAGAGAGAAAGAAGAGAAAGGTAAAGTTTTTCCTCCCCAAACCTAGACTCAAGTCCCACTACCCAGGTGTAACATAATGAATCTTTCCAGAAAGTTTTTGTACGTATACAATAATATATATTGATATCCATTATATTACAAATGAAAATACACTACATGCATGGTTTGCATTTACTGGGTCTTGTATCATATAATCACATATAAGCCCCCAGGTCATTTATTATATGGCTATAGAGCATTCCATTGTATGGGTGCAAAATAGTTTATTTAACCAGTATTTCCTTATTACTGGACAGTTAGTTTTTGTATTTATTTATTTATTTTGAGAAGGGATCTCACTCTGTCACCCAGGCTAAAGTGCAGTGGTGCAATCTCAGCTCACTGCAACCTCTGCTTCCTGGGTTCAAGTGATTCTCCTGCCTCAGTCTCCCGAGTGCCTGGGATTACAGACACATGCCACCACACCAGGCTAATTTTTGTATTTTTTGTAGAAACAGGGTTTTGCCATGTTGTCCAGGCTAGTCTCAAACTCCCGACCTCAAGTGATCTGCCTGTCTCAGCCTCTCAAAGTGCTGGGATTACAGGTGTGAGCCACCACAACTGGCCAGTATTTTCTTTTTTTTTTCTAGATATACAATCATGTCATCTACAAACAGGGACAATTTGACTTCCTCTTTTCCTAATTGAATACCCTTTATTTCCTTCTCCTGCCTGATTGCCCTAGCCAGAACTTCCAACACTATGTTGAATAGGAGTGGTGAGAGAGGGCATCCCTGTCTTGTGCCAGTTTTCAAAGGGAATGCTTCCAGTTTTTGCCCATTCAGTATGATATTGGCTGTGGGTTTGTCATAGATAGATCTTATTATTTTGAGATATGTCCCATCAATACCTAATTTATTGAGAGTTTTTAGCATGAAGGGTTATTGAATTTTGTCAAAGGCCTTTTCTGCATCTATTGAGATAATCATGTGGATTTTGTCATTGGTTCTGTTTATATGCTGGATTACGTTTATTGATTTGTGTATGTTGAACCAGCCTTGCATCCCAGGGATGAAGCCCACTTGATCATGGTGGATAAGCTTTTTGATGTGCTGCTGGATTCGGTTTGCCAGTATTTTATTGAGGATTTTTGCATCGATGTTCATCAGGGATGTTGGTCTAAAATTCTCTTTTTTTGTTGTGTCTCTGCCCGGCTTTGGTATCAGGATGATGCTGGCCTCAAAATGAGTTAGAGGGGATTCCCTCTTTTTCATTGATTGGAATAGTTTCCGAAGGAATGCTACCAGCTCCTCCTTGTACCTCTGGTAGAATTCGGCTATGAATCCATCTGGTCCTGGACCTTTTTGGTTGGTAAGCTATTAATTATTGCCTCAATTTCAGATCCTGTTATTGGTCTATTCAGAGATTCAACTTCTTCCTGGTTTAGTCTTGGGAGGGTGTATGTGTCGAGGAATTTATCCATTTCTTCTAGATTTTCTAGTTTATTTGCGTAGAGGTGTTTATAGTATTATCTGATGGTAGTTTGTATTTCTGTGGGATCGGTGGTGATATCCCCTTTATCATTTTTTATTGCGCCTATTTGATTCTTCTCTCTTTTCTTCTTTATTAGTCTTGCTAGCGGTCTATCAATTTTGTTGATCTTTTCAAAAAACCAGCTCCTGGATTCACTGATTTTTTGAAGGGTTTTTTCATGTCTCTTTTTCCTTCAGTTCTGCTCTGATCTTAATTATTTCTTGCCTTCTGCCTGCTTTTGAATGTGTTTGCTCTTGCTTCTCTAGTTCTTTTAATTGTGATGTTAGGGTGTCAATTTTAGATCTTTCCTGCTTTCTGTTGTGGGCATTTAGTGCTATAAATTTCCCTCTACACACTGCTTTGAATGTGTCCCAGAGATTCTGGTATGTTATGTCTTTGTTCTCATTGGTTTCAAAGAACATCTTTATTTCTGCCTTCATTTCGTTATGTACCCAGTAGTCATTCAGGAGCAGGTTGTTCAGTTTCCATGTAGTTGAGCAGTTTTGAGTGAGTTTCTTAATCCTGAGTTCTAGTTTGATTGCACTGTGGTCTGAGAGACAGTTTGTTATAATTTCTGTTCTTTTATATTTGCTGAGGAGTGCTTTACTTCCAAGTATGTGGTCAATTTTGGAATAGGTGTGGTGTGGTGCTGAGAAGAATGTATATTCTGTTGATTTGGGGTAGAGAGTTCTGTAGATGTCTATTAGGTCCGCTTGGTGCAGAGTTCAGTTCAGTTCCTGGATATCCTTGTTAACTTTCTTTCTCGTTGATCCGTCTAATGTTGACAGTGGGGTGTTAAAATTCTCCCATTATTATTGTGTGGGAGTCTAAGTGTTTTTGTAGGTCTCTAAGGACTTGCTTTATGAATCTGGGTGCTCCTGTATTGGGTGCATATATATTTAGGATAGTTAGCTCTTCTTGTTGAATTGATCCCTTTACCATTATGTAATGGCCTTCTTTGTCTCTTTTGATCTTTGTTGGTTTAAAGTCTGTTTTATCCGAGACTAGGATTGCAACCCCTGCCTTTTTTCGTTTTCCATTTGCTTGGTAGATCTTCTTCCATCCCTTTATTTTGAGCCTATGTGTGTCTCTGCATGTGAGATGGGTTTCCTGAATACAGCACACTGATGGGTCTTGACTCTTTATCCAGTTTGCCAGTCTGTGTCTTTTAATTGGAGCATTTAGCCCATTTACATTTAAGGTTAATATTGTTATGTGTGAATTTGATCCTGTCATTATGATGTTAGCTGGTTATTTTGCTCGTTAGTTGATGCAGTTTCTTCCTAGCCTTGATGGTCTTTACAATTTGGCATGTTTTTGCAGTGGCTGGTACCGGTTGTTCCTTTCCATGTTTAGTGCTTCCTTCAGCTGCTCTTTTAGGGCAGGCCTGGTGGTGACAAAATCTCTCAGCATTTGCTTGTCTGTAAAGTATTTTATTTCTCCTTCACTTATGAAGCTTAGTTTGGCTGGATATGAAATTCTGGGTTGAAAATTCTTTTCTTTAAGAATGTTGAATATTGGCCCCCAGTCTCTTCTGGCTTGTAGAGTTTGGCCAGTATTTTCTAATGTAAATAATGCTACCATATACATCTCTGAACATGAATCTTTTTTGCACACTTTTGTCTCTGTAGGATAAATTCCTAGAGGTGGAATTGCTATATCAAAGAGCATGTCTAGCTTTGAATTTTGCAGTTATTGCCAAAGTGCTCTGCAGAGATTGCTCAAAATTGCACTGCCCCCGACAAGTGGATGAGTGTGTCTATTTCTCTTCCCTGCCCATATTGGCTATTAACAAATCACTGGATCTTTGTCAATCTGAAATTCTTTTAATGTACTTTCTTGATATCTTAATTTGCATTTTAAAATTATAAATGAAATTGTTACTATTTATTGACCATTGAGATTTCTTGTTCTGAGAACTGCTTACTCATGTCCTACCCCAATTTTCTGTTAGGTTATCTCTTTCTTATAGATTTATAAGAGATTTTTGTAATTTTAGGAAATTAATCCTAAGTCACATATGTTGCAAAGTCTTCACTAGTATGTGTTGTTTTCTAACTCTGTTTATGATGATTTTCCCTGCAGAAGCTTATTTACTTTTAGTGAAATTTATTAACCTTTTCCAGATTCCTGACCTCAGGATATCTTCTTAGTTTTATGTCATGCCTCAAAAGACTGTTCCCAAGTTAATTTCTTTGAATTTTAGTCTTGGATTTTTTTGTGTGTTTTATTTTTTATTTTTGTTATTATATTTTTTGAGACAGAATCTCACCCTGTCACCCAGGCTGGAGTACAGTGGTGCAGTCTTGACTCACTGCAACCTCTGCCTCCCAGGTTCAAGCAATTCTCCTGCCTTAGGCTCCCGAGTAACTGGGATTACAGGTGCCTGCCACCACGCCCAGCTAATTTTTGTATTTTTCATAGAGACGGGGTTTCACCATGTTGGTGAGGCTGGTCTTGAACTCCTGGCCTCAGGTGATCCGCCCACCTTGGCCTCCCAAAGTGCTGAGATTACAGGTGTGAGCCACTGTGCCCGGCCTATTTTTTTACATGTATATTATTGGTCCTTCTATTTAAGGAGAGATGTAGTGACTTCATTTTGTTTTTCTCCATATAACTAGAGAGGTATTCCAAAGCTATTTATTGGATAACCCATCTGTTTAGATTTGATACGTGACTTGCATTATATTTTAAATTATCATATGGATTTGGGTCTATTTATGAACTCTTTGTTCTATTTTTTTCTACTCAATTTATTCTTGGTCCAGAAACCAAACTATGTTACTTTATAACATATTTTACTAGCTGGTCAAGCTAATAACCACTCTTTACCCATTAATCACTTTCCCCCAGAGCTCCCTAGCCATTCTCACAGGTTTATTTAAATCTGTAAATGTTGACTGAGCACCTATGAAGTACCAGGCAGCAGGGCTAAGCACTTAGGATACAGCAGTGAACAGAAAAGGGAAGATCCCGGTCCACAGGGTGCTTACATTCCACCTGGGAGAGAAAGACATAAACAAATCAGTCAAATTGATACAGTATCCGAGGGTGGCAACCCATATGGAGAAAGACAAAACAGGGAAGGTTCCTATCTAGGAAGTAGGGGAAGTACAGACCCAGGTAGTCAGAGCAGACATCATTGAGAATCTGGCAGTTGAGGTGAAGGAGTAAGCTGCACCAATACCTAGGGGAAGACTGGCGGGAACAGCACATGCAAAAGCCCTGAGGTGGGAAGTCAGTGTACCTGGAGTAAAGTGAGTGAGAAGAACGTGAGGGCAGAGAAGTAACAGGGAGTGACATCCAGGAGGGCCTCACAGGCAAATGTAAAAACTTGGACTGTTTCTCCGAGCAAGGTGAAAAGCCATTGTTGAGCAGAGGTGCATCATGAGCTAACTTAAAGCTCCAGAAATTGATGCTATCGGTATTTTGGTTGTGATCACGTTGAATCTTTCATTCATTTATGGAGGACTGATATCTTTATAATCCCGTGCCCTATCCAAAAAATCAGACATGTGGCAATATTATAAATGTATAAAATGACAAAAAGATCCACTTCTAACAATGTATTCTACAGATAGACTTGCATATGTGCAAAGTAACTTATGGAGAAGCGTCATTTATGATGACAAAATACTGGAAATAATGCAGACATCCAGACATACACCCATAAGGATTAAGTCAATTATGAGGCATGCACATGACAGAATACTATGCCACTACAAAAAGAGTAAGAACTTTTATGTACTGATATGGAATCATCTCCTTGATAAACTCAGAATAAAAACAAGGTACAGAATGGTGTGTATAGTACACTATCATTTGGGTAAAAAACAGAAAAATTATATTATATATGAGTTTGCTTTTGTATGGATAAAATATCTCCATAAGAATACATATGAAACTGCTAGCAGGACTGATCAGTAGGGAGGGGAACTGAGTAGCTTGAAGACAGAGATACAAATGAAAGGTTTCATTGTATACACTTTTCTATCTTTGGACTATTGAGCCATGTGAATATACCACCCATTAAAAAACAAATAAGTATATATTTTAATGAAATAAAGTATGCATTTATCTCAGGGCTATTTTGGAAATGTATCCAACAGCTGAAACAGAATTAGCAGAGACCTAAATCATATAGCAAAGATGACCGATATGATGTATCTTTACATGTCAGTTTTAATAAATGTGCAATAAATATACGAATCAATAAATAGACAAATGTAAGGCTGAATACATAAATGTGCTCATTTCTCTGCCAAAATAAAAGTGTTTTGGAAGAGGACAAATGGCACAAAATGAAATTTGCACATTATCATTGTGCAAGTGAGTTAGAAGAGCTCAATCTCTTGGCCAGCCAATTGCAGATTAAGGCCTGTGATGAAGAAGGGTGCTGTATAGTCTGCCCAAGGTAATTCATAGATTCAATGCCATCCCCATCAAGCTACCAATGACTTTCTTCACAGAATTGGAAAAAACTACTTTAAAGTTCATATGGAACCAAAAAAGAGCCCGCATTGCCAAGACAATCCTAAGCCAAAAGAACAAAGCTGGAGGCATCACGCTACCTGACTTCAAACTATACTACAAGGCTACAGTAACCAAAACAGCATGGTACTGGTACCAAAACAGAGATATAGACCAATGGAACAGAACAGAGCCCTCAGAAATGATACCACACATCTACAACCATCTGATCTTTGACAAAACTGACAAAAACAAGAAATGGGGAAAGGATTCCCTATTTAATAAATGGTGCTGGGAAAACTGGCTAGCCATATGTAGAAAGCTGAAACTGGATCCCTTCCTTACACCTTACACAAAAATTAATTCGAGATGGATTAAAAACTTAAATGTTAGACCTAAAACCATAAAAACCCTAGAAGAAAACCTAGGCAATACCATTCAGGACATAGGCATGGGCAAGGACTTCATGTCTAAAACACCAAAGGCAATGGCAACAAAAGCCAAAATTGACAAATGGGATCTAATTAAACTAAAGAGCTTCTGCACAGCAAAAGAAACTACCATCAGAGTGAACAGGCAACCTACAGAATGGGAGAAAAATTTTACAATCTACCCATCTGACAAAGGGCTAATATTCAGAAACTACAAAGAACTTAAACAAATTTACAAGAAAAAATCAAAAAACTCCATCAAAAAGTGGGTGAAGGATATGAACAGACACTTCTCAAAAGAAGACATTTATGCAGCCAAAAGACACATGAAAAAATGCTCATCATCACTGGCCATCAGAGAAATACAAATCAAAACCACAATGAGATATCATCTCACACCAGTTAGGATGGCGATCATTAAAAAGTCAGGAAGCAATAGGTGCTAGAGAGGATGTGAAGAAGTAGGAACACTTTTACAGTGTTGGTAGGACTGTAAACTAGTTCAACCCTTGTGGAAGTCAGTGTGGCAATTCCTCAAGGATCTAGAACTAGAAATACCATTTGACCCAGCCATCCCATTACTGGGTATATACCCACAGGAGTATAAATCATGCTGCTATAAAGACACATGCACATGTATGTTTATTACGGCACTATTCACAATAGCAAAGACTTGGAACCAACCCAAATGTCCAACAATGATAGACTGGATTAAGAAAGTGTGGTGCATATACACCATGGAATACTATAAAGCCATAAAAAAGGATGAGTTCATGTTCTTTGTAGGGACATGGATGAAGCTGGAAACCATCATTCTGAGCCAACTATCGTAAGGACAGAAAAGCAAACACCGCATGTTCTCACTCACAGGTGGGAACTGAACAATGAGAACACTTGGAGACAGGGTGGGGAACATCACACACCGGGGCCTGTTGTAGGGTGGGGAGGGGGGAGGGATAGCATTAGGAGATATACCTAATGTAAAGGACAAGTTAATGGGTGCAGCACACCAACATGGCACATGTATACATATATAACAAAGCTGCATGTTGTGCATATGTACCCTAGAACTTAAAGTATAATAAAAAAATAATAATAATTTAAAAAAGGGTGCTGTATAGTATATTAAAAGATGAAGCATCCTAAAAATTTAAAGAAATGATTCCAGTAAGAGGGTTAGAGATTGTGGGATGGATATTGAGATTGAGAATGGGCTGTACAGATCTGAATTGGTTGGTTAGGGAAGGTTCACTGAGAAGTGATATTTGGGGAAAAACATGAAGATGGGAAGGGAGCAGCCATGTGTGAGAGAAAAGCATTCTCCGTAGAGGAAACAGACAGTGCAAAGGCCCTGAGGCAGGAGAATGCCTGGCCTATAGGAAGGACAGCAAGGAGGCCAGTGTGACTGGAGCAGATGGAGTGGGAAAGCATAGGTGGATAGGAGGGGCAGCAGATCCCACAGGGCTTTGTCAGCTGTCCTAAAGGCAGTGCCTTAATGAGTTGGGAACCCCTGGAGAGGAGGGAAATTGACTCTTTTAGATTATATACATATATGGGTGTTTTTCGTTTTTGTATTTGTTTTTTTGAGACAGGGTCTCACTCTGTTGCCCAGGCTGGAGTACAGTGGCATGATCATAGCTGACTGCAGCCTCAACCTCCTTGGCTCAAGTAATACTCCCAACTCAGCCTCCTGAGTAGCTGAGATTATAGGCGTGAGCCACCAAACTTGGAGAATTTTCAAAATTGTTTTGTAGAGACAGGGGTCTCACTATGTTGCCCAGGCTGGGCTCAAACTCCTGGGCTCAAGCAATCCACCTGCCTCAGCATCCCAAAGTGTTGGGATTACAGGCGTGAGCCACCGCGCCTGGCCAAAAATTCACTCTTATATTTTAAGAACATCCCTCTGGCTGCTGTGTTGAAAATGGGTCACAGGAAGTCAGAAGTAGAAGCAGGGAGGCCAGTGCCAAGATGATTTCCAGTTACTCCTCACATGACCGCCCTCTGAAGCAGATTCTTAAAACTATTCAAAGTAAATGTGTGTAAAGAAGCTACATTTAGGCCGGGCGCGGTGGCTCACGCCTGTAATCCCAGCACTTTGGGTGGCCGAGGTGGGCGGATCAGCAGGTCAGGAGATCAAGACCATCCTTGCTAACACGGTGAAACCCCGTCTCTACTAAAAATACAAAAAATTAGCTGGACGTGGTGGTGGGAGCCTGTAGTCCCAGCTACTCGGGAGGCTGATGCAGAAGAATGGCGTGAACCCAGGAGGCGGACTTGCAGTGAGCCGAGATGGCGCCACTGCGCTACAGCCTGGGCGACAGAGCGAGACTCCGTCTCAAAAAAAAAAAAAACAAAAAACCTACATTTAGTACACAAGCAGTCTTTAAAACACAATCATTCTCCTGATTATAAAAATAATGTACAGTCATGGTAGATAACTTGAGAAAGCCAGAGGCATATTAATAGATAAGAAAAAAATTTACCAATAGAATACCTCCCAGATACAATACCTTTAACATTTTGGTGTATTTCCCTCTCAGTTATCTGGTTTTATATAGCTAGATTCATAAAACACATATACTGTGGTATGCCACTTAATCACTCAACCTAATATAATTAGCATTTTATCACTAAAAGAATTACTTATTCTAATGGAAACATAATATTCTATTTTATGACTATATAAAATTTAACCAGTCCACTAAATTATTAGTCTTCTAGGTTATTTCCACTTTTTCACTACTATGGATAATGCTTTATTATTTATAAATAATGCTTCAATGAAGATTTTTATGCATAAATTTTGGTCTGCATTTTAGATTTGTTTTCCTTAGAACAGATTCCAGAGGTGGAATTAGCAAGTCAAATAGAGAATATATTTTAGGTTTTTGATACTCACTATCAGATTACTCTCCAAAAAGGTCATGCCTATATAAATCCCCATAACTTTACTAAAGTCATAGACAACTTTTAAGGAAAAAAAAATTCCCTAATTAGTATCATCCTCCTTTAAAAAGATTTTTTTTGAGCGAGCCATAATTTCACACATCATATGCATAGCAGAGAGAGTGAAAAATAAGATTCTGAGTATGAAGGAGTCATTAGAATTTTAAACCAAAGCTGCAGTTAAATTATGATCCTCCTTGAGGAGTACATATGAAACCCAGTGCACATTGGACATGCTTTATAGGCATCGAAGTAGTCATTACTAAATATATGTGGTTGCTAAGATACAAAACTGAGAACTAAGAATTAAATTTAACATGTTCTCCTCAAATTGAGTTATTTCAGGACTAGCCTTCTCTTCTTTATAAATGGCATAATATGGAGACATTCGTGACAAATTGGTGTTCGGCCAGAAGAAAAGAAATGGGCAGAATTAAGAGGAGATAAGAAGTAGGAAGATGTGGGTTCTAGAACAAGGCCTTACTTCCTAATTTCATGTCAGTCATTTGACCCTTTGGGTCAAGTATAGTGGGAATAATATTGCTTGTCTTGTCTCATCTACCTCACAAAGCTTTTTGAAGGTCAAATATGCTAATAAATGGCAAAGTGACATACAACGAGAGGGTGTTATTACCACATTGAAGTCTTAGGCCCACTGCTTTGGAAACTTACATGTAATGAGGTTCTTTAAATTGCTGTTGCTGGGTTTCTTTTGCGTTCAATTAAAGAAGATTCAATGATCTGTTTTTGGTGAAATCCATTCAAAAAGGAAAGAATGGTAATGCAGGCCATAATTCTGAGCACCCGATTAGACTGAAGCTTCCTAAAGGGAAAGGATTGTATCTCATTCTCCCATGCGAACAAGTGTCCAAAACCCTGTTAGGACAAAGTAAGATTATACACTCCTGCTTTGTCTTGTTTCTCAATGGTGTATTATAGATGAGGACAAGAAAGAGGCTCATGGACTAATTTCTTTCCTACCCCACCCCTACTTGCTTTTCCATATTCACCCTGAGCTGCCAGGCAAGCTACTGCTCATCACTCAAGTCAGCTCTTTCCCTGATCCCATCAATCCAGTCCCAGTCTTCCATTAGTGCCCAGTTCACCTGGTCACAACACCGTCTCATTGGATGCTATGATGCTTTCTTCCCCACTGGCTGACCAGGCTCCACGGACCTGCCCTGCCATGTTATGCCCCTTTGTATCTGCTTCGGTGCCTAGCACAGGCTCAACACATGACCTCCCAGTAAAGGAATGGCTGGGTTTTCAAAGGCCTGGGCCACAAAAAAGGCAAATGCTCACCTGATGAAAAAGAAGTCATTATGTATCTTGGTTCCAGAAACATAGCCATGAGCCAACCTCTACATAGATACATTACTACATACTTACATGTGTTTATGTATACATATATCCAGGATTCTCTTGGTAACACAAAATGTTGAGAATAGTAACAAGTTGAGGTTACTGAGGCCTGATACTAATCATGTTGAGGTCTTACATGTAAATAGAATTGGAGTATAGTCAGAAGGGCAGAGGATTTTTTAATCTGGTTCTTTTCAATTTTCTATCAGAAACCTAATTCAGTGGTTCTCAGTCATCTGATGATTCTGTATAGCAGTGGAAACTTTAATAAATAACTGATGTCTGTGATTCAGGTGTAATTGATCTGGGGTAGGACTTGGGTGTCCGTACCTTTCAAAAGCTCCCCAGGGGATTCTAATGTGTAGTCAAGACTGAGAACCATTGCTCTAAACTGTCTGGGGTGGAGATGACTCATCGAACTAATTAAACCTTCAGGTTGAACACACTAGGCTTCCTGGGCATCTGTATAAAGTTTCTTGATCGCTCCCACACTCTCCCTCTTTCACTCCCTCACTCTCTCATTCTTTCTTCTATTTATCCAATAAATTGCTTTGGAATGAGTCTCCCGCTTTTCAATTCAATCAGGAAGAGCCCAGATCCTGATGGTTCAAATTGAAGCAACCTGGGATCTTTAAGGCCCAGGACATAATGGTATAAATCATGGACTGTGAAAGGATGAGACAATGCCATTGGTTCCCTCTCCTACTTCAGCTTGTGTTATATGGGTGGCCTTAATGATGGGAGGGCATTGGAGAAGCCCAGAGTAAACACTGATATGCTGGGATTTACCAAACCTCCGAAAAATTTCACTCTTGGAATCAGGCACAGACTACGTGAAATACCATCTGACTCCCATGTTATGAATACTGTGTGGCCAATAAGTATCCTAAGATTCTCTGAAGCAGGCAGTTCCTGCAATTTTCTTTTGAGTCCCATGACTCTTGGGGTAGGGTGGAGGATGGATGAAGATGTGTGTCTCAGTGTCAGTGAAACAAAAGCACTCTTTACGTAACTCATCCTTGCACAGGGGGAGCCAATCGTGGCCAATCTCTGACTGTAAGTTCCCAGAGGGCTTAGTTCTTTTTTCCGATGGTTCTGATCATCACTGCCTCTTACGAACAGATGATCACCCAGCAGACGCTCAATGAATATCTACAAAACAAACGCCCTCTAGCTCCTCGGTATTTCAATAAACCATTGACGCCCCATATTTGCTTGTTCTCAAGTCAGAAATTGTTAACTTAGAGACACACAGGCCCTGAGGTTTCTTCCATTGGCTTTTTAAAGGTGTAAGGTATGAACCACAAGGGTACAAGGGGCAGGAGTGAAATAACATGGGTACCTTCCTGGTGCCATGTCTCTCTGGGGAGGGATGGTGCTCTCCTGGAATGTATTGATGAACCAAGAGGTCTCAAAAGACTGGCCTGCAGGCTCGCTGGCAGCCACCTAGCTGGGTCCTGTCCCACGGTCCTACATGGATCATCTCCCTGACAACCAGCATCTTAGCATGATTCAGATGAATATTACTTCTAAAACCCTGAGCTTCACAATTCTCCCAAAAAATTGCATTATCCTGGGAGCTGATTCAACTGATGCTCCACTCAAATTTGATTGCTATAGTCACAGTCTCAACTATCATGAGGATTGAAGAAGTAAAAATCCATGCAGATCATGATACTTTTCAGAAAACATCAAATAGCAATTGTGCCATGTCTTTTATCTCAGTGTGTTGGTTCTTTTTTTGTCCCACTATTTCTTTTTTTGTTATTACGTCGCAGAACCAAGGTTTTTTTTGTTTTTGTTTTTGTTTTCTAAAAGAAACGATTACAAAAGATTGCTGTTTCCGCTGCCTATGAAAACAGAGGAAGCTAGTCCTAAGGCTTCTGCTGGAAGGAAGCCCTATTTCTATTTTCATTGGAAGGTTCTCAAAGCAAGTTAATGAGGATTTCTCAGGGCCCGATGTTTGCCTCTTGCCCTCCATAATGTCAGCCAATTATCATGCAGATATATTTCATGAAATTCCATGGAATAGATACATTTCATGGAGCTTTTTCCTACAGCATTTTTTTTTTTTCAAATCCTGGAACAGGCCATTCCCCCAACAGATAGCATGACTTTTAATTACACCAGACAGCCTGACTCCAAGCCACGAGTGCCCGGGCTGGGCCGCAAGAATGCCAGCAGAGGCCTCTTGACATTCACGCTCATTTCTGAATCGGATATTGCACCAGTTTTCCAGCTTCCGATTTCTGTTATAGCATCAGATTTTGGTTTTAATTGGCTGCCAGAAATAAGCAAGCATTTTTACAGGGTAGGAGGCTGTGGAGTTTTAGGAAACTCTGCCATGATGAGTTTAGAAAAACTGTCAGACAAAGCAATGTATTCTTTCCTTTCTGTCTGATGTTGAATTTAATTCCTAGATTTATAGGCTATTAAATCGGCCTACCTGAAACTCGTTTGCAGATATTGCTAATTGTGATAATAGTGGCATTTCTCAAGCATTCCTTCCTTATGAACTAGGCATTCATATGCCTAAAAATCCCGTGCCTTGGGCAGGGGTGAGCCTGCTGGACAGGGAGCCATGAGACCCAGGCTGTAACCTTGATCCTGCCACTCCTCGGTTGTGCTATTTTGGGCAGGCACTTTCCTGAACCTCCTTTTCTTTCTTTCTTTTTTTTTTTTTTTTCCTTAAATTTCTCTAAATCTCTGTTTCTTCTTTATAAAGTTATGTGTTGGGCTGCATGGTCTATTTCAGGTCCCTTCCAACATCTACAGTACTAAGTAGATACAAATTCCTAAAACCTCACTCAGCCCAATTTTAAAAAATGAAAGACACAAGAAGAGAAAAAGAAAAAAAATTAAAAAGAACCAAATAAATAATTCGGGTATTTTTTTGCTCTTGCTAAGCTTTTAGTTCTGTGAATACCAGTTTTTCCTATTATGTTAGTGGGAAGGATAGAAGGGCTTAAAAAGAAGAAAAGAAAAAGGCAGAAATAGAAAGCAGAGGCGCCAAAAAGGGAAGAGGCAAAGAGAAAGAGCCAAGTAGCGTGGGACAGAAGCTGCATCCCCCGGGCCTGCTGTTCCCCTCTTCTGCCAGTAGCCCTGAGAACTGCGACAAAGCACAACAGCGCGAGATGCTGGCAGCATTTCCCACTCTTATGGTCATAATATAATGGGTCATAGTATAACTTGCTTCAACAAATAATGAGAGATCCCCTCTTCATATTTGAGGAATGGCAGTCTCAGGCCTCCAGAACTTGCAAGGAGATTGGGGAGAAAAGATGTTCACAGAGAAAACAATTTCAGGAGACAGAGAATTCAATCCAAGGTTATGTGGTAGAGACAGGACGTTGTGGAGCGGTAGGAGAACAAGGGGACCTGGGTGGACTGAGGAGGTCTGAGAATGCAGGGGAGAGGTGGAGCTGGATTGAACTTGAGAGTTGTTTGCAGGCAAGAAAGAACCGGAAGGACCTTCTAGATCCATCCATTCTTTCTCCTGCCGCTGCTCCATCATGTGGCGGGGGCCTTTGGGGCACAGCTTCCCTACTTTTCTTCAGGTATTCAGTTATTGTTTTAAATCAACCTGCATATATCTGTTATTAATGAAAGAATCAGCACTTTTCTTCAGACAGAACCATTTGTCCAACACATTAAACATTTCTATTTCCTACTAATGTGGGTCTAATTTCCTGAAAATTTTTATTATTTATGTTTTTCCATTAAGACCTCGTTCTGCAGTGGATTTCACCAGGCTCAATTGATGGACTCATCCTCTCATTTGGAGTTTTACATTGTTATTTGCATGATGATCCTACTAAAGTGTGAATGATTTATTACTTCTTTTTTCCATTCCTCCATCTCTGGAGATCTGTGTTTAGGTAGGGAGGCTAGGGGGCACCAAAGAGAGAAAATAAACTCTCCTTTTTACAGGTGGTTCAGTTTCACTCACTGTAAGAATCATCCCCTCAGACTCAGGCAAAAAAAAAATGGTCCGATTTCTGCTCTAGGGGCCCATTTCTAAAAGATGCCTAATGTCTGGATTTCACACACACAAACACACACACATGCACGCACACATATCCGAAAACTATGGCTTAGAAAAAGACCAAATCTAGATCCAGAATATATAAAGAACTCTTGCAACTCAATAATAATAACACAAATAACTAAAATAATGGGCAAAGGAGTGGAATAGACGTTTCTTCAAAGAAGATATACGAATGACCAATAAACAATGAAAGCTGTTCAATAACATTAGCTATCAGGGAAATGCAAATCAAACTCACAATCAGATACCACTTCACACCCACTAGGATGGCTATAACAAGAAAGATAGACAAGAACGAGTGTTGGTGAGAATGTGGAAACGATGGAACCCTCATACACTGCTGGTGTGAATGTAAAATTATACAGCTGCTTTGGAAAAGACTTTGGCAGTTTCTCAAAAAGTCAAACACAAAATTATCATGCCACCCAGCAATTCTACTCCTAGGTGTATACCCAAGAGAAATGAAAACATATGTTCACACAAAAACTTGTACACAAATGCCCATAGCAGCCTTATTCATAATAGCCAAAAACTGGAAACAACTCAAATGTCCATGAACCAATGAATGGATAAATACAATGTGGTCCATCCATAGAAGGGATATATATTATTTGGAATGGAATATTATTCAGCCATGAAAATAATGAAGTACTGATTCATGCTACGACATGCATGAACCTTGACAACATTATGCTAAGTGGAAGAAGCCAGTCACAAAAGGCCACATAATGTGATTCCCATTTACATGAAATGTACAGAATAGGCAAATCTATAGAAGCCGAAAACAGATTAGAGGTCGCCTGGTGTGGGGAGAGAGGGGGTGGCAGCTGGGTTGGTGGATAATTGGAAGTGACTGCTAACTAGCCTAATGTTTCTTTTAGAGGTGATGAAATGGTCTAAAATTGATTATGGTGATGACTGGTACTGAAAACCATTTAAATCTTACACTTTAAGAAAAGGTGTTCCAGAAAAAAGAAATTCCAAATATTTGTCCCACTTTTGCTTGCTGACAGGCATGAAAAACGAAGGGACAGAAATCAAGCGACAATGATTCAATTGCTGCTACTTTCTAACACAATGCACCAAAACAGTTAAAACTGGTGCCCATATATTTCAATGAACCAGTCCTGTTGGCATAAATGGTTATAGGGCACATCTCATAACCTATGACGGAGGACATCATCCTGGAAGAAAAGAATCCTTGGTTGGGAGCAGGTCATCCCTCCGCAATGTCACTAGGCATCTTCCAGGACTGGCATCATTTTCACAGGCTGAAACCAGGCCGAGTTGTTCAGGAGGCAGAGGTGAGGTATTATCACTCTGTCGTGGAATCTAGATGAAAAAACAGATTTCCGTGCTCAGAAAAACAAGTTCCCGGTTTAGACACACTTCCAGACAATGTAGCACTGATTTCTTAAAATGTTCTTTTTTGAGTGTTAATTACCAGGAACCCAGCAATTCCACTTTTGGAAATCCATTCTAAAGAAAATCTTAAATTAAAAAAAAGTTATGTGCGCTAAGACATTTATCACAATATTGTTTACATTGGTGAACAGTTGCCCAAAAATTGGGGAAAGGTGAAATGAACCATTCCACAAGCATAATGCCATTGAAGTAATGGTGGTAAAACTGATTTTAAGACAACGTTCATTGAAAAAGCATTTTAAAGGAATGTACAGCATGATGTGGATGTACAGTATATGTATATGAAAATATACCCATTGTAAAAATAGTGGTTACATTACATTAGAGTCTTAGGAAAGAAGGTGATATTTTTCTTTTTTATCTTCTCCATTTTTCTATAATGAGATTTAATTACTTTTAGGATAAAACAATTTTTTAATCATTGGAAGAATTAAAATTGTACCTTTGCCTTTTAGAAAGCAATTATAGGCCTGGCACAGTGGCTCACGCCTATAATCCCAGCACTTTGGGAGGCCACAGTGGGAGGATTGCTTGAGGCCAGAAGTTCGAGACCAGCCTGGGCAACATAGGGAGATCCTGTCTCCGCAAAAAAATACAAAAATTAGCTGGGCGTGGTAGTGCATGCCTGTAGTACCAGTTACACGGGAGGCTGAGGTGAGAGGATCACATGAGCCCAGGAGGTTGAGGCTGCAGTGAGCTGTGATCACGCCACTGTACTCCAGCCTGGGCAACAGAGCAAGACCCCGTCTCAAAAAAATATATATATGTAAAATAATAAAAATAATAAAAATGAAAGCAATTATGGCTATGAAATACTGTCTGTATTTTCTGGTTGTCCAGAACAGGACTGTTTTTTTTGAGACAGAGTCTCACTCCATCGCCCAGGCTGGAGTGCAGTGGTGCAATCTTGGCTCACTGGAACCTCCACCTCCCGGGTTCAAGCAATTCTCCTGTCTCAGCCTCCCGAGTAGTTGGGTCTACAGGCACCCACCACCACACCCTGCTAATTTTTGTATTTTTAGTAGAGACGGGGTTTCTTAAGCTTTAATGTGTGTGCAAATCACCTGGGATCTTGTTCAAATGCGGGTTTTGACTCAGCAGGTCTTGGGACATGAGATTCTGCATTTCTAATAAGCTCCCAGGGCTGCTGCTGCTGCCCCATGTTCTTGGTCTATGCAGCACTCTTGGAGTAACAAAGGGCCTAAGAGTTTCTTCAGAGAAATTGTCCACAAAACAAAAACAGACTAAAATAACACTGAAAATCATTAAATTCAGGAAACGGTTTCTATACAATTGGTAGTGTGGACATCCAGGTAGCCAAACTTGCCCCTGGGTTTTTAAACTGAAAGGCCAGTTTTTGTCCCTATTCAGTGACTTGAGTTTAGTTCAGAGATCTTGGAAGCAATCCATGATTCCTTCCCTCTCTACAAATTGACCCCCAGCTGTTGGCTTTCCAAGAATAAAGCAATCAAAAGTCGGTAGACCTTTTCCGTGAAACGTTGTACAATACTCACTTTTCCCCTGGGGCTTTCACTGGGTCACTGGGCAATAACTTGCCTGAACTTTCTCCAATCTGCCAACTATACTAAAAAGTAGAGACGCTTTTCTGCTCTGCATCCCTCAGGTACAAAGGCTCATAGCCTTTACATGCTGCTGCTCATGGTATTGCCACAGTGTTCAGATAGTGATTGTATTAGTTTCCTGCTTGTGCTGTAACAAATTACCACAAACAGAAATGTATTTTCTTATAGTCCTGGAGTTCAGAAACATAAAATCAAGTTGTTGGCAGGGCCATATTCCTTCTGGAGGCTTCAGGGGAAAATCTTTCCTCCACTGGCAAAATGCATCATTCCAACCTCTGATTTCATTGTCTATTGTCACATCTCCTTTTTCTACTTCTCGTCCTCCTGCCTCTCTCTCTCTCTCTCTCTTTTTTTTTTTTTTTTTTTTTTGAGACAGAGCCTCACTCTATTGCCCAGGCTGGAGTGCAGTGGTGTGATCTTGGTTCACTATAACCTCTGCTCCCAGGTTCAAGCGAGTCTCATGCCTCAGCC
This sequence comes from Homo sapiens, assembly GCF_000001405.40. Taxonomy (NCBI): domain Eukaryota; kingdom Metazoa; phylum Chordata; class Mammalia; order Primates; family Hominidae; genus Homo; species Homo sapiens. The sequence continues at coordinate 13,961,297 of NC_000023.11, read as the reverse complement.
TCCGGAATAGCTGGGACTACAGGCACGGGCCACCACACCCAGCTAATTTTTGTAATTTTTGGTAAAGATAGGGTTTCGCCCTGTTGACCAGGCTGGTCTTGAACTCCTCACCTCAAGTGATCTGGCTGCCTCCCATAGTGCTGGGATTACAGGCATGAGCCACTGTGCCTGGCCCCACTTCCCTCTTATAAGGACCCTTGTGATGACATTGGGCCCACCCAGATAATCCAGTATAATCTCCCTCCTCAAGATCCTTAACTTAATCACATCTACAAAATCCCTTTTACCATATAATGTAATATAGTCAAAGGTTCCAGGAATTAGGATATGGATATTTTTGGGGGGTGATGTTGTTCAGCCTATCACAGCAGTCTAAATGCAGCCCGTAGCTACTTGCCCTTTGTTGAGTATGTTTCCTTCTTTCTATTAATTGTTTGGTTGACACCCAGGGTTAGCCATAGCTTACCATATGTAAGCTCAAGTAAGCGCACTATGTTAGTTTTTTATTACTACATAACAAATTACCACAAATTTAGTGGCTTAAAACAATGCAAATTTATTACCTCATAGTTTCCATAGGTCAGGAGTCTAGGCATGGCATGGCTGGATTCTCTGCTCAGGGTCTTTTTAGTCTGAAATAAAAATGTTGGCAGGCCTACATGACGTTTTGGAGGCTCTGGGGAATAATGTTCTTCCAAGTCCACTCAGGTTGTTGGCAGAATTCATTTCCTTATGGTTGTAGGACTGAGGCCCCCAATCTCAGCAGGCTGCCGGCTGAGAGCCCCTCTCTCAGGTCCTTAAGGTGCCCTGCATTCATTTCATTCTTGTGTAGCCCCTTTCAATCCTCAAGCCAGCAGTGGTGAGGTTTCAAATCTCTCTGGCTTCTTTCTGCCTTCCTCTTGTCCAACCAGCCAGAGAAATTTCTCTGCTTTTAAGAGCTCATATTATGTGATATTAGATGAGACTATCCAGGTCATGTCCTTTTTTTTTTTTTTTTGAGATGGAGTCTCGCTCTGTCGCCCAGGCTGGAGTGCAGTGGCACGATCTTAGCTCATTGCAAGCTCCACCTCCCAGGTTCACGCCATTCTCCTGCCTCAGCCTTCCAAGTAGCTGGGACTACAGGTGCAGTAATGTCCCTTTCAAAACTCAGCTATACCACATAGCATAACACAATCACAGGAGTAGTAGCTCATCACATTCACAGTTCTGGGGATTAGGGAATATAAAATCTTGGGGGATTCATTTTTAGAATTCTGTCTATTTTACTTATGCACACATAACTCTGCAACTTCCCATCCATACATTTTGTAGGTGACAAGAGAAAGCCTCAGTGAGGTAGAGTGACTCGCTGTAAAAAATACTGTCGGTACCCCACCTATATCACTGGGGGTCTTACTTCCTCAATGATACCCACCAGCCAACTTCTAACTGCCAGTGTCCATATCTCTTTGCCTAAAGTCTTTCCCTAAAGCCAATGAAGGTGACTCAGCCTGAATTGCTGAGGAATTATAACCCTCTGGGAGCAGACCTCAACTAAGACAGAGTAGCTGGTAGATAAAGACCCCAGCTCCCTCGGCCTTGGGTTAACCCTGAGACATGCATTTTATACCAGAGCAGATTGGTTATGGCACTAGCAGCAACAGCATCAAGGAAGCTTGCCTTAAATGCATATCCATGGGCCTCACTCCAGACCTGCTGAATCGGAAACTGTAGAAGTGCAGCCCAGGAATTTTACAAGCTTTCCCGGTGATCTGATGCTTGCCAAAGTTTGACCAAGTGACTAGAGGAGCATCAGTTCTTTCGAAGTGAGGAGGTTCTTAGAGTTCAGCCTGAACTCTAAGAGGTCCACAGCAGTGCTAGTAAAAGCCTGACTCACAGATTGGCAATATCACCCACATCACTTTGAGATTGTTAGAATGCAGATTCACGGGCCCCATCCCAGACCTGTTGAATCAGAAGCCTATATTTTAACAAGCCCTTCAGATTATTCTGATGCACACTAAAGTTTGAGAAGCACTGCTCTGGTCATAATAGAAACCATCTATAAGGGACTACAGCAAAGCCACCTGCTGTGTGGCTTTAGAGTCAAAATGGCTGCCTCACATTGCTCTCTATCTCAAGTTAGCTGTGTGAGTGTGGGCAAGCTACTTGTCTGCCCAGTGTCCTAGTTATCTGACTTTTAATAGGAATGATCTAACCATGCTTACTGCTCAGGAGATTGTTCTAGAGAATCTCTAAGACAATCCCTTAACAACACCTAGAATATTGAGGTGCTCATTCAAAGGGACCTTAGGGATTCCTCTCACTAACCTTTGGAATGGCATGGATTCGTAGGATAATTACACCCAAGACCTTCGATAAATGCTGGTCTGTTGGCTTTGAGGTGACACAATTTACATATTTACAAGGAGCTTTTCAGATACTGCCTGTGGAAGGCTGAATAAAGCCCCCTTACCAACCAAATATGTCCATGTCCTAATTCCAGAGGCTGAAAATATGTTGCCTTATATGGCAAAGGAAACTTTGCAGATGTGATTAAGGATTTGGGGAAGAGGAGATGATCCAGGCTGGCCCAATGTCATCATAAGGGTCCTTATGAGAGGAAGGCAGGAAGAGATGGAAGATAATGCAATGTGATGTCAGAAGAGATTAGAGTGATGTGCTTTGAAGATGGAGGAAGTGGCCACAAGTCAAGGAATACAGGTGATAACAAGAAACTGAAAGGGCAAGTAAAAAAATTCTTCCCTGGAGGCTGCAGAAGGAACCAGTGCTGCTGACACTTTGACTTGATCTCAGTGAAATTGATTTCACTCTTCTGACCACTGGAACTTTAAGGGAATACATTTTGGTTGTTTTAAGCTTGTGGTAATTTGTTACAGCAGCCTTAGGAAATGAATATACTACCTTAACCTAGACCAACATCAGCATGCATCACAATCACCCAGAGCCTGGGCACAACCTCCAGAGCTTCTGATGCAAGAGGTCAAGGATGAGGCCATGAATTTGCATTTCTAGCAAGCTCCCAGCTGATACTGTTGCTGCTGGTTCCACTGCTACTCTGAGTAGCAGTGACCCAAAAAACTTGTTAAAATCCAGACCCTGGCAGATAACTTTTGATTCACGTGGTCAAGAGCATCCCCAAGTAGCTGTGAGTCACACTCAGAGACATGAAACTTAACCTGAGCAGCTCAGAGCATGGGAACACCGTGCTTTGGGCAGGCCAGTGGCAGAGAGAGGTGTTGAGGCTCCCTTGAACCAACTAATTCATCACACAGAGGGGTCACTGTATTAGTCTGTTTTCATGATGCTGATAACAACATATGCAAGACTGGGAAGAAAACGAGGTTTAATTGGACTTACAGTTCCACATGGCTAGGGAGGCCTCAGAATCATGGTGGGAAGTGAAAGGCACTTCTTACATGGCGGCGGCAAGAGAAAACGAGGAAGATGCAAAAGCAAAACCCCTGATAAAACCATCAGATCTCATGAGACTTATTCACTGCCATGGGAACAATATGGGGGAAACCACCTCCATGATTCAAATTATCTCCCACCAGGTCCCTCCCACAACATGTGCAAATTATGGGAGTACAATTCAAGATGAGATGTGGGTGGGGACATGGAGCCAAACCATATCAGTCTCTAACTGTGCTTGTGATTTAGTTTACCCAAATGACCATCCAACAGGTCACCAGGGCCACCAGTGTGTACACAGAGGAGACATTTACAGAGAGCAGAGACCACTGTCCTGTGGGACCAATAAGCACACTACATCACTTGGCCTCATCCTACCAAAAAGCAGAGAAGGCTGGGAAGCATCGACTCAAGGCCACGCTACCCTCTGGCTCTGTACAAAGCAATCTCTGCAATGTTTGGCTGCGCCTGGTTAACACAGAGAACAGCATAAGAAAGGAAAACCGGGGCTGGTAGGAATTGAAGGAGGAAATGGAAACCAAAAAAAAAAAAAAAAAAAAAATGAGGCGGTGGAAGAATAAGAAAAAGGAAATCAGGAAAAAACAAATTGAGAACAGTCAGTGATTATGAGTAAGATGTGGGAACAGCAAGGGAGACAACTGCTGTGGGTCCAAGCCAAGGACACAGTGGGGGTGGGAGAATGGGGTTTAAGCAGCCGGTGGCTTCTGTCAAAACAACCAGGCTTTGCCATTAACTCGTCCTCCACCTCCCCCACCTTGGAGCCCCCTTTATGCACATGTGGACATCCCTGCTACATCACCTTCAGTGGGGAGCAATGAACTGCTAGATGGTTTGAGCTCATAGGGAGAAAAAGCTCTCCAAAGCAAACTTAAGTTAATGCTGGGTTTAGAGTTCCATTCCAGGAATTCCTTTTTCCTTCTGATAAAATCTATATTTTTTTTTTACTTTTTTATTTAAGTTCAGGTGTACAAGTACAGGTTTGTTATATAGGTTTGTTGTGCAGATTATTTCATCACCCAGGTAATAAGCATAGTGCTCGATAGGTATTTTTTCCGATCCTCTCCCTCCTCCCATCCTCCACCCTCAAGTAGGCCCCAGTGTCTGGAAATGGAGACACAAAAAGCCATGCAAAAGATCAACAAATCCAGGAGTTGGTTTTCTGAAAAAATTAATAAGATAGACCACTAGCTAGACTAATAAAAAGAGAGAAGATCCAAATAAACACAGTTAGAAATGACAATGGGGATATTATCACTGACCCCACAGAAATACAAAAAAACTCAGAGACTATTATGAACAGCTTTATGCACACAAACTAGAAAATCTAGATAAAATCTTAATAAAAGGAGACAACCAAGAAAAACATCATTTAATGCTACCAAAAGGGGAGAGGTGTCAATATTTATATAAGTAAATATACATAAATACTTACATGTATATCTCCACCTATTTATATATATACATCAAGTGGAAGTCTGGAGGTCACTCACAGTTAAAGGGTGTCCTTGAGACACACACAACCCCACACAAAATAGCATGAATTGACAAGCAAAGCCTTCTGAAGAAGCTAAGGAGTGAAGATGAGCTAGGTTTTGCCCACACTGGGTCCTTCCAGGGCCGCCCCAGCTGCTCAGTAACCATAGTTACTGTTTATCAAGAACTTTCTGAGAGTGAGGCTTGGCACTACACCCTAAAGAGTGCCAAGAGTTCATTTCATAGCAAACCTTTTAAGAGAGGCAGAATTCCTCTCCCATTCTAGAGAGGAGGAAGGGCTGCTCAAACAGGTTCAGGTCATTCAAAGTTTCACAGCGTGCGTGAAGCCAGGGGCAGAATTTGAACCTCTGTTCCTTAGCTGAAATACTGGGCTCAATTTTTTTTTTTTTTTTTTTTTTGAGACAGAGTCTTGCTCTGTCGCCTAGATTGGAGTGCAATGGCGCGATCTCGGCTCACTGCAACCTCTGCCTCCCGGGTTCAAGCAATTCTCCTGCCTCAGCCTTTCCAGTAGCTGGGATTACAGGCGCATGTCACCATACCCAGCTAATTTTGTATTTTTAGTAGAGACAAGGTTTCATCATGTTGCCCAGGCTGGTCTCAAACTCCTGGCCCCAAGTGATACGCCCACCTCAGCCTCCCAAAATGCTGGGATTACAAGCATGAGCCATTGTGCCCAGTCGACTACTGGGCTCACTTCTG